>NC_000013.11:84521731-84674572 GCF_000001405.40 Homo sapiens | reverse complement strand
ATATTTTCCAAATAATGTGTGGTGTTATACATGAATAAAATATCCATTCAAGGTGCATGATAACCTAGGGAACTTTACTATACCAATGTATGAAAAATTCATTGATACGATTTCAGATTCCACATTGCAACTAATCTTTAAGAAACTCATCAAGTTTGAATATAGCATCAAAAGTAGCCACAATTATCTAAAAAGTGTTACCAAAACACTTTTCAATTTTTCTCATGTCATTTCTGTGTGAGGACAGAAATGACATGAGAACATGTGGACATGTCATGTCTTTTCTTTACACGCTTCAAGCAAAACAACATCATCACAACAGATTGAATACAGAAAGCTACTCGGGAGGCTGAGGCAGAAGAATCACTTGAATCTTGGAGGCGGAAGTTGCAGTGAGCCAACATCGCGCCACTGCACTCCATCGTGGGCGATAAGAGCGAAACACCATCTCAAAAGAAAAAAAAAAAGAAAAAGAAATGTGAAACCAGCTTTTTTCTATTGAGATGTAAAATAGTGGCATTCTTCTCACTAATTGTTTTGGATGATATTGTTATTTTCAATAAAACATATCAACATAATGGGTTTAATTTTGTCATTATTATTATAATAAATTGTTCAGTAATGTTTTAATTTTAGTTTCTAATATGGCAAATATAATAAATGTAAGCCATACAAACAAAATCTCTTTGCAGTTCTTAGTAATTTTTAAGACTGTAAAATTGGCAATCAAAAAGTTTGGTAACTGCTACCCTAGGGAAATTTTTGCACTTGCTCACTGGGATAAATATACAAGAATGTTCATATTTTTATTATTATAAAATCCTAGAAACAACTTACTCTATTTCATATGATGTATGAATAAAATAATTATGTTATATTAATTTGTGGTATTGATTTTACCCTATGACTATTCATAGCAAAATTTAAAATTAAAAATTGTGATAATTATCATCATAATGCAAATCTTCTAACATGATTTTTTTCTTGCAAAGGCCTACTTCTTTCTGTCATATTGTTTCTAAATTATTCTCTAACTCATTCTCATAAGAATTGAATTTGCAATTTTTTTTTTTTTTTTTGAAATTGACAGAATTTTAGAGTATAAAGTTTCTTTATGCCACTATCTATGGCCTCAGTTACTGTTGTCAAAACTTGGTGTTGCTTTGCTGTTGCAAACCTAGATATTAAAGATTTTCACACTCCGCTGCTGAGATTTGGGCAAGGGGCTCCTTGCAAGCACTAAATAACTGAGAGAGGCTTTTTTTCCTTTTCATTTACACTGCAGGAGCAGAAGGAACTGTAACAATTTCCAGGAACTTTGAAGGAAAAATATATATTTCACATATATCATATATGCATCAAATAATTTTTTTCCTATTTACTCTATATTTGACTTTGTGTTATTGACTACAGAGGGTGTTAAAGACAATAGATCACACGCTTTTGTATTCTGGTGACCCCATTACTAAAAAAGAAAATTTCAAGTGACATAATAAATATATTTCCCGATATTTTCTCTTTTTAGATCAGTGGGGCAGTTTTCATATGTGGATGAATTATGCACTTTCCTTGAAAATCACATTAAAATTAAAATTATTTATTAAGCTCTGATTCTGTGACCTGACATTTATGTTCATATGCCAGTAGGTACCTAGTGGACAGGGAGAGGAGAAAACCCAAAGGATCAGGGAAACCATGGCTTGAAACATTGGCCACAAAGTGAGAGCTCACAAAAGCAACAACAGTCCGCCTCACGTTCCCTCCCACCTTCTTGGCATAATGCCCTGTGATACTCCACCACTGTCAACAACCTGGATCTAATAACATTCCTAAAATTGTTAGATGACTGGTGATTTTCGGTCTGTTTATTGGTTTTGTGAAATATCTTATACCTGAAGCATCTCCATATTACCCTTGTCCCTTTTTTTCTTACTATTTATTTAAGACAGCATTTCTCAAAAAGTCCTCTGAAAATATTGCTTTGCTTTGGTGTTATAAGAATAATATATACTCAATATAAAAAATAAAAATATTACCATAATTTGGGACACAAGGTGGAACTCAAATAATAATGCATATAACTATAGGCATAGAGTAGAAGGTTTAAGATGAATGGCTCTGGAGCTTAATTCTTTGAAGTCAAGCCACTTTTTAAATGCGTGTTCTACAGCAAGGTAATTAACCTTTCTGTGATTTGGTTTCCTGGAGACTGAAATAGTACTGACCTCCTAGGACTGATGTGAGACTTAAAATAATTAATTAACATTTCATTGGTAATAGCGGCCTCATAAGCCTGAAGATAAATCTAAAGATTAAATTAGCTAATCAGTTGTGAGAATAGAATTAACCTCATAATAGTATTTAACACCCAATAGGTGTTCACTTTATTAGCTGTATAAAATAGCATGCTTTTACAGCTTTAATTTCATTTTTGGTATAATATTTGGCAACTGCTGTTTTACTTAGCATAAACATTTTTCTCTATTACTATCACTATTTGTAATAAATCTCCAATATTACATTTTATGGAAAAAATATAATTTAATCAGGCAGCCATATTTTGGGATATGTATGTTGTTTCCATTTTTAGTTTTATAGATAAGGCCAAATTTAGCATTATTTTACATACATTTATATGCAAATAGTTTTTATTGCCTAGGATACTTTTTCATTATTGGAATTACTAGAATTAGGTGTATCCACTCATTCAGTCCAAGAACATTTAGTGCCTGTTTTGAGGCTGGCATTTATCTTCAGCTCACTCTCTGATTGTCACGAAAGGAATAATCTGCGTTTCTGCTCCTACAGAGATTAAATCCCATGAGGAATAATGTATACTTTTGTACACACTGTCAAATGACCTTATTGACAAAGTTTGTACTTTGTCAGTCATCTTCTCATTAATATAGGAAATATTATTCCTTAGACTTTAGCCAATGGGGAACATTTTAAACCAACAAGCACAATATAACTAAGGAAGAAAACAACACAATAACAACAACAAAACTGCCAATTAGAGAAAAAATAGTACGACATTAATTTGTTTTGCTTTATTTCTATTAAGTTTTATTCTTTTAAATATAAACTTTAAGTATTTATACTTCATAGCTACTGGCTTTACCTATCACTCCTGCTCATTTTTTATTTGAGGCATGCAGCAGAGATTACCTGATGCCAATATGCCCACATGAAAAGTATACATTTTCTATATTTTTATTTTTTGTGGATGTAAGTGGGGAAATGATTCAGTTCTGAACAATGAGATGTGAGCTCATTAGATTTTAGTGAAAATATTTTTTTTCTATTTTACATAATGAAACAGAGTTTTCAACAACAGAGGATGGAGGTACATATATGTACATATACTTCTTATATTCTATATGATTTCTAATTTTAGATTCCATTTTGTCAGTTGTTTTAGTCTACATAGAATTTATTCATGTACCAAACAAGTACTTTTCATGTGCAAAACTATACCAAGTGAGTCCATATTTTGTAGCAATGCTGGTTAAATGCACAATAATAAGAAAGAAAAACTGATCTGAATACTGAAAAACATTTATTTGTTATGTTATTTGGACAAATTATTTAATGCATCTGAATTTCAAATGCTTCATCTGTAAAACAGGAATCGTATTATCTATTTTACATGACTAATGTCATGATGAAAACAAAAAGTGTATGTTGAATCCTAAGAATAGTACATTAATAATTTTATCATTGCTGTAATTATTGTAATTACTATTTTAACTTGAATATCCCAAGATTGTGACCAAAACGCAAGGCTGTATTCTCAAATCATGGTAGATTGAGGGCTCAGAAACTTTATTGTTGGTAAGTAAATCATGGTGGCTTGAGGCCTTTTTATTCTCAAACCATGGTGGGTTAAGGCCTCAGAAACTTTATTGTTGATAATTAAAAATCCCTCAGTGTATTCTCTTCATTTTGGGGGAGATTAAAATGGGTATCCCATGTATGCCCCAAAACCCAGTCTGTCATTTCTCTTCACCTTGATGCCTGTTTTCATTCCCCTTCCTAGTTCTGACTGTATTTGTGTGGGCTGCTCACACAGTTATTTGAGTGCTTGTTGTTGGTACTGCCCATAATTAGCAAACCAGCTTCCAGGCATGCTGTCCTTGGTACTGATGTTGCAAAAAGAGCGAAACTCTGTCTCAAAAAGAAAAAAAAAACAAAGATGTACATTCTTAATATGACATTTAAAGTGTTTACTATGTGTTGATATTAGGAAATGCCCATTTTTTGTTCTTTTCCTGCCTTATTTTTATGATTAGTACTTTGTGAATAATGTCTTAACAAAGAAATATTTTGAATGAATCTTAATTGGAGCACAAGACAGACAACAGAATTTGTGCAAGGCTGTTAAAGCATTTTTTAAAAGTTAAATATGACAACAAATGAATACTAACAATTTAAGTATGACATCTTGCATTTTTATGTCATTTTAAAATTTGTAAAATATACTATTAACACAATTGCTGTTTAAAAATACATGATATTGACATGTTATAATTACTTCCATTTTACAGTAAAAGAAATGATGATGTTTAAAAATAATTTCTTTCCTTTACTTAACTTTACATTATTTCAAAGATCTGGACTATCCACACTGGGGATATGACTGCGGTAGCAATATGAAAGATACATGACACAGAGGAAGAATACCAGCATCAAAGTGAGAAACTTGCTTTTAGTTGCAGTGATTTGTGACCTATGAAAATATATTTTATCTCTCAGGCCTAGTTTCCTCATTAATGAAAGACAAATAATAAACAATTTCCATGGGTCTACTGTGAGGATTTGTTAAGGAAAAAAAAAAAAACTTATGTAAAATTCCATTCAAGAGCTTAAGAACTAGTATAAAAGCTCAATCAATAGTTTTTCTCTACAATTTTTTTCATGCTAACCACAATGACATTTATATTAATCACCTCTTCCAAACAACTGAAACCACTCTTTTTTCTAAGTATATCAATTATTTGAAATATTACATAAATAATTGAAGTCTCAGAATGTCATCTTTGTTTGTAAATAACTTGGTCTTGTTATTTTTTTAAAGAATGTTTTCACGCTATTATACCAAACTTAAAACCATGACATTTTAGAAATAAACAGGGTATATAATATTTAAAGAATAAATAAATATGTTTTCCTTCTATCCTAATGGATACTTAGCAATAAAGAGATCTACTTTAAATAAGATAGAATGCTGCCTCTTTAATCCAGGTTTTAAAAGGACATTTTATATGGTGTTAGAGTAGCCTATAGTCTTTAAATTTTTCTTACTGGCTTCCACCTGAGAAAGGAATGGCACTTTCTTTGTTACCTTATGATGGAAGAGGTAAGCGAAAGGACTGTCGATGGATCCATTGATAGTGATTTACCCTACTTCTTCACAAGCAGCAACTTCACGTTGCTTTTACTTTATTTCTGACACCTACTAAATGTGTTAAAAGCACTAGTTCAGAATTTATCTTAAGTAGGTTTTTGTAAATTTAATATTGCGTGGGCACTCAATCTTTGCAAATGTAGAGGGATTTTTTTTTTCCCTGAGAAGACTATAAAGTAGAATAGCTGCCTTGGGCACTATATAGCAAGTGTACAGGTTTCTAAGATCAAGGAGTGGTTAAAGTCAATATCTCAATTACCCTTTGTCCTGTAAATGATTCTGTGGATAAAGTAAAGTGTCTTGGCAGGACAACATGATAGAAGATTGTGCACTTAGTGCCCAGGATCTATTTTACTGTGGATAAACAGAGTGCGTCACTCTCTTTCCTTTCTGCCAATCTTCCTTTCACAAGGACTAAATTACCTAAATGGAGAGGGGTTGTTAAATGCCTGAACTTCAAGATTCTAAAAGTACTGGCAGTTTGCCATATTGAAGATCTGACAATGACTGGCCTTGTTTTTACTTAAACACTCCTCCCCATTTAGATATTGACAATATAGAGAATGGGAATGTCCTGTAATTTCCTGCCTCACTTTATGTTCACTGGGAGAAATCAATATCTTTACAGAACTTCTGTTTCTTCATTTCTTTTTATCCCTACTTCTTCCACTGAAGTATTCATTGGAACAGTAACTTTCACAATTCTAGTTACTATTTTAAAATGTACTCCGAAGATGCTATCCCTGCTCTGTTTAAAAATGCTGTTCTTCCTGGAGTGAATTGGAAATACAGAATGAAAACAGGAATCAGCAAATGGAAAAATCTATGGTGGTGAGGTGGACACACAAATAGAAAGATGCTATTACCATTTTCAACCTGGCTAAGATTATTTTTATATCTAGCACCGTATTCTCACTGAAAGGCAACCACTGTAGTATATATACATGGTTGACTGGATTTGATTCGAATCACAAACATTTATTAGCTTTGTTTCCTTTATTTGAAGAAGTTATTATTTAGCATTTCCTGTCTTTCTCAAATAAAGCTAAAAGGAGTTAAATTCGGAAAGTGTGTGAGTAGCTAGATAGAACATAGTAAGCACTCAATAAATTTGCTAATGTTGTCAAGGCTCAACTTTTCTGATATGTTTCCCTTGACAGATTCAGGTCTAAGCCAAATTATTTGTCAAGTTTCTTTTATAGTAATTCCTAAGTGATTATATCATGTCTCAAATCTGACTATAGCAAGTTATCAAAGGGCAGTATTATTTTTCCCCTCTTAAAACTTTTACTGAAATTCAGAAATGTGTATCCAGAGATGCTTAAGTACCACTAATACAATTTTATAAATATTTTTCTATGGGAAAATACTATTTCAAGTGACTATTGCTCATTTCCTAATTTTCCAAAAGCTTTCAGTGTTGCTAAAGTGCAATCTTAAATTATGTGAGCTCCAAATACAGTTAAAGCACAGAAGATAATCCAGGCAAAAAGAGAGAAATCTGTAGTACAAGATAAATGTAGAAAAGAGAAAAGCATTTTTAATTTGAAGTAGCCAAGTCAGGCATATAGTCTTCATCACTGTACATGAAGTAGCTAGTTGAAATGATTCAAAATAATGCATTTAGCTAAATACCAACACTGTATTAATTGCTCATTTAGAAACAGCTGGGTAGTGACACAGAAAACACAATTAAATATTCTTTAAACTAGTTTAAAGAGCTCAGCTGATGCTTTTAAAATATAGCATGGTAGTAAATTTATTCTAAAAAGTTAGAAAATGTTGAAATATTGAACATATCCATTGTGCTACCCAAATTCGCACACACACACACAAATCATTTGATATTTTAATAGATTTTAGTTCCGTCCATGTTTTGTAAATATTATGCATAGGAAAGAGTGAATGGACAATTGTTCTTGTTCTTCTTCCTTTATGATTTTGATTCTGTCCTCCAAATCTATTGAAAATATAATTTGCTTTCCTTTTCATTTCAAGAACCCAGCACTGTATTCCTTGAATATCCTTCACAATATTATCATTTCATCTAATTTTCTCTCCATAGTTAAATGTCCCAGTGTAAAATTACATACACACTTAAAGATGAATGTGACAATATGATGAATAATGAGAAATGATATGTAAAGTGTCTGCTACACATTCAGTACTGAAGAGTAGAGGTTTTCTCCCTTTTCCTTTCACAACTCAACTATCCTTTTCTTTCTTCTCATCATCCCCCATCACCAACTATCAAGAAGATATTTAGTCTGATTTTTTGTTAGGATCATTAAGAGACTTTTTCTAATTTCTTTATTAATTGTGGTTCATTTAAATGTACATTATTGTTAAATTACACATCATCTTTCTTCCCCCTCCTCAACTTGTTATAATGATCCATTTTGTATAATAATGAAAAATTTTTAAATAAAAGTAAAATAACTGATTATTGATCACTTTAGTGTAGCAGAAGTTTACAAATCAAATTTTGAATGGATAATACCCTTCTCAACAAAAATCACATTAAAGGAATTTTTAAATACATATCTCTTATGAAAGTGCAGCTTTTGGAAGATCAAGAAGGTCCAGTCCACTGAGTCTTAACATCTATCAGTTTTGCCCAATTCAGTACACCACCTGCAATGGTGCACTAAATCAGCTTCCCAGCCTTATTCAGAAATCAAAATTCCTTGCCCTTTTCAGACAACTATGCAGTTAATGAAATCTAAAATAATAAAGTCAGAATAAAAGTATACACTCTTCATTTGTTCATCAGGTTATGTGCCTGAAGTTTTCTCTCAGGGATTTCTTTCCCCCAAGGTAACCAACCTGAATCTTTGATTTCAGGATTTTAAATAAAAGATTTAAGAAAACTCAAGTATCTTCTTGTAACTGGTGAAGTAAACTTTCAATTCATGAAGGTGTATGTGTGAAATAACTTTAATAGTTTTTGAAAATGAATATTATTTTTAGTTGGCAAATCATAATTATATAAATTTGTGTGTATAATGTGATGAGCTTTGTATTTCATAGGGGCACAAGTTTCTGAAATTTTATTCTGACTTTAAAAATAATTTTTCATTGAACATTCTGGAATACATTTTATATATTAAGACTTTTTGTCAGTCAATTAATCAATCTAGTCCATTGTGTAATAAGATTGCAAAGACCTAGTGAATTCATTCATAATCCTCATATTCTTTTCTATTTTATTTTCTATTTTTTTCTATTCTCCGACATATATACTGTATCAAAACAGCTAAATAATCATCTTGACTCTATCCGTAATCACCAATATAAGTACTATCTGAAAAGTATTAATATTCCCCATAATACACTGAAAAGACATGCTATTAAAAACAAAAAATAAAATATACTAATCAATGGAAGCTTGTTTAAATGTATCAAAGAGTAAAATGATCTTTAATGTATATTTGATTCTAAAACGATAACTTAATGATCTATAGGGTGTTAAGTAAAGATCATTTTTAACTGAAGTGCTTTGTTAGCATGCTGATTGAGTTGCTTGTGTTATAAACCTATTTATCCAGAGACACTGTCCATAACATTTGGCAGTCTTCGCTAACATACTTTTTACCTTTAGCACTTCAGATTGGCATGTCCTTTCCTTCTCTTTCTTTTCTTTTCTTTTTTTTTTTTTTTTTTTTTGAGATGGAGTTTCACTCTTTTTGCCCAGGCTGGAGTGCAATGGTGCAATCTCGGCTCACCGCAACCTCCACCTCCCGGGTTCAAGCGATTCTCCTGCCTCAGCCTCCCGAGTAGCTGGGATTACAGGCATGCCCCACCACCCCGGCTAATGTTGTATTTTTAGTAGAGACGGGGTTTCTCCATGTTAGTCAGGCTGGTCTTGAACTCCCCACCTCAGGTGATCCACCCACCTCAGCCTCCCAAAGTGCTGGGATTATAGGCGTGAGCCACCGCGTCTAGCCCTTCTCTTTCTTTTCAACCAAGCCATAATTGTTCTTCAAGGATTAACTAAGGAAGCACAATATGCTCCTCCAAAACTCCAGTCCAATTCACCTGTCTTCTTCTCCTTGTTATCCTTTCCTTATTTTTCCTCATCTTCTTCTTACTCCCCTTCCTCTTCCTATTTCTCTTTATCTTCATCATCTGACTCAGAATCATCCTTATAAAACTCCATTGTTGTTGTAGTTGTTATTGTTTGAACCTTTTCTTCCACAGAATTTTTATTGATACAAATGTTTGTACATATTTATGAGGTGCATGCGAAAGCACAATTAGATTCTGAGCTGCTGAAGAGAAATATTGTAGCTCACGTGAAAAAAATATAAACTTTTGGGCTCACTCAGTAATTCTTAAATATTGTGGATCACATTATTAATTTTTTATTACATTGGTACATAAAGTAAAATAAATGGGTGGGGGGGCTTAAAGTTTTATTTGTATGAGAGGATTTAAACTAAATAAAAGATAAGACAATGTAAACAGAAGATAGAAACGTAGTGTTTAATAGTTTATACTAGTATAAGAAGCAAATAGAGACCAGAAAATAAATAAATAAATAAATAACAAAGAGAAAGAAAGGTTACACATAAGGCAGATCACTAGAATTACTCCTCGGTAATTGAAGCATCTTCTTAGCTGCTTATCCTAATACCTAACAAATGAATGGATGAATGAATGAATGAATAAATGAATTTTCTTGAACTTCTCTACGTGTGACCGATGAGATTATTCTTTGATACCTAATTCTAAATGTACACTTGGTTTGCACACACCTTGATTGGGAAATTTGTAATGTATTTCTATTTCTTGCATTCTAAAAGAGACTGATGTAAGCAATTATGTAAGACCACCTCTAGCAAAACATCAACTTCTACACAGTAAGTGGTAGAAAAACACCCCAAATGCTGACTTATTTGTTCAGAAGAAAATTGATCTTCAAGGTAAATGGTCAGAAGAAAATTGTTTGACTCGTTTATTAATCCATCCATTTATTCATCTATCCCACAAAGGATGAAGAAGTACCTGCTCTCCTATGGCTTTCATTCTGATGTGGCATATGGAGAATAAGCAAGCAGATAAATAACATATAGGTAGCACATCAAATAATTGTAAATACCATGGGAAAAATAAAGCATAATAAGGGCATCAAGAGTAATTATTGTGAATTACGGGGGCTGGAAGGATGGGTGTTATCACATGTAATGTATTCAGGTACATTCCTACACCTATAGGAAATGAGGGTGTGCATACTGTGAACACGTGAGAGCAAAGCAGTTCAAACAGATGGGCCAGCCATTGCAAAGTCCTCGAGTATGTGTGTTTTAAGGACAGCTGGGAAGCCAGGGTGTCTGAGCACAGAGAACAAGCGAGAGGTAAGGAGCGAGATATGGGATCTGAACGCAGCAGGTTCTTGTTGACTATTACAAGGCCTTTTGTTTTTAGCATAGGTAAGATGAAGAGTCATTGAAAATTTTTGAGAGAAGACATAAACTCTTCTTTTTGAAAGGCTCATTCTATTTGCTCTATAGGGAAAAACTAAAGCCGAAATCCAGTTAAGGCTGATACCACATGAACTCAAGTTAGAGCTAATGATGCCTGAGCCCATAATGAGGGTGGAAAAGGTAGTGAAGAGTGATTGATTTTTTTATGTACTTGGATATTTGGTATAGATATAAATGGAAATATTTTGAAGGTATGCCAGTTGTTTCTTTTCCCAGGTGGAAAGTGTATGTAAGGAAAAGGGCAAAATTTTAAAATGTCTCCAAACCCTAGCAACTGAAGAAGGTAATTTCCATTTAAAGATATGAGCAAGTATGTGAGTATGTGAAAAGGCAGTTTGTGTGAAATGTAATTTGTTTGGAATATGGTTAAGTATAAAGTATTTGTTAGAACAGGCAGGTTGTGAATCAGTGGAGATTACAGAAGAAAATTTATACTAGAGATAAAACTGGATGTATCAATCAAGGCTAAGTTAGCAAAGCAGAATTATTAGAGTAATGTATAGTGTATTGTATGTATGCGTGTATGGGTGTGTGTATATATTCACCGCCACACATATACACATGCATGTACATCTGCTACACATGCACATACATTTGTTACGGAAATTTGATTTTAAGCGGTTGTGGGGGCCAGTTAAACAGTCTCAGTAAGATTCTTCTCATCAAGTCTGATGCCGGCAGTAGAAGCAAACAGGGTAGGCAGGTTTGGAAGGGACACTAGATAGAAAGTAGGGCAGACTACCCAAGATTAAGCTTGAACCCACAAACATGATCTGGACTCCCATGAAGATGCTTTGAAAATAGTGTCAGCTCTCGTTGCCTCTGACCTTGATGGTGAAGGGATCCTGAGGAAATTGAGCCCTTTGCATGCTAATAAACACACTCACTGGATCCAAGAGTTTGAGAAATGAGGGGAAAATAAAGGAATTGCAGGCCCTGCCACTGCCTCATGTCAACGAAAGAAGCCAGCAGATAGGTGGCAATATGTTTAAGACACAAAATAGCTTCTGCTTCACTTTCACTTTCCAAATCTCCAGCAAGACCTCTTTTGTGAAATTGCTGAGAAATCAGGATTTATATGTTAATACAGGTGGCAGTTTCTTAATTAAATTGAAGGTCGATAGAGTGAAGAAGAGGTCTTGAGAGTGATCTCTGGGAATTTTAAAGAATTGTTACATGGTGTGTCTTCTGGAATTTTTAAAAATTAATTGTTTTTAATTTTTAAAAAAAATTAAGTCAGACACAGATTCAGAGAGAGGAGAAGTTAATTAAGAGTCAGACGGAGACAAAGAACCAGACAGACAGAAAGAATGCTGAGCCAATTTGTTTACCAGAAATTTTTTCAGAACTACTTTCAATTCGAATACATTCAATGCCTTGATCTCCCCCATCTTTAAACGGCCTACAATCACTTTCACATTTTTATTTGGAGCATTGAGTAATGCCTTTTTTTTTTCTTTAACATGGAGAGAAAATTCAAAATAAATTCTGGTAATACGTATGACAATGGGAGGAATCATGGTAAGATAGGGCAGTATTTTCTCAAAATTTAAATGAAATTCAAATGCACAAGCAAGACTCGGCAAGAAATCTGACGTTATCATAAGAAGGATTGTGAGAATCTGAAGGATTTATAGCCTGATGGGTACTGAATTTTACCTATGAAATTGTGATTATTTTGAGCATGGAAGAAATAGATCCCAAAGTAAGAAACTGACCTGCTGTGGGATCTTGTCTGCTACATCTATGAGTCATTTCAGGATGCCTGTGTTTTTTCGTAATTTTCCTACTCATCTCCTAACAGACATTGCTCCAAAAAAACGGCCCTATCTCTATTACATACTCATCCCCTCTCCATTTCGTATGGGTATATCCATTTCTGTAATACAAACAAAACAATACAAAATGGAACAAATGTCTCTATTTACAATACCCACTCCCAAACAGTTTTTCTCTTTCTTTTCTCATTCAAAATTACTGAAAATTTATCATACATTTTTCTGAGTCCAGTTCTCTGTGTCTCATTCACTAATGACATTTTAAAATTTAACAATCTAGTTTCTTTCTCCATGCCTGAAATAAAAATATTCCTTGCAAGAAAATTAAAAGCCTGCTGGTACTAAATTTAATGAAAAGTATTTCATGACTGTATCACTCTACATTCCAGTCAACACTGCTGAGCTTTTGTTCCTTGTAAGGTTTTACTCCATTTGTTTGCCTGATTATCTTGGTGACTCTTTGACTATTTCTTCATATTTGCTTTTCTACTTCTATTTTGTTTGCACTTGAAACTCATAATCTCTATTTCTTGCTCTCACCTCTCCTGCAGCTTCACATGTGTACATTCATCTGTATTCTGAACATCTTCCTTTGGACATCCCATGGATAGCTAAGAATTACCATCTGCCAACATGAACCAATCTTCTCCTTCAATTTTTCTCCTCAGTCTGTTTTTCTTCTAATCCTGCTATCATTAATTGGAGAGCCATAATTCGTTTTTGACCATGTCTTTATTCTTATAATCACACGTAATGAATCAATTCAATAAACATCTAATGTTCTTACTGTATAGAAATTAATAACCAGAAGGACTGTGATATAATAAAGTTAATTATCAACTCAGATAAATTAATATATTAGTATAAAACTAAGCCTAGCACTTAGAAACTGTATGATAGTAGACAAATTCCTAAGCATCTCCAAGTCACATTTTATTCTTTTATGTTGGGAAATAAAAATAATTCATACCTCATAGATTAGATTCAATAACTCTATACATGAAAATATTTGAGTATGTTCCCTGGCTCAAAAATATGTTTTCTTAATTATAATTTTGTCATTTTTATATGAAATATCATTAGTTCTACCTTAGACTATTATAAAATTCTCCTAACTAGTTTCTCTGGCTAAAATCTGTTCCCTTCGAAAAAACAATTCTCAGGCAATTAAAATATTTCTAACATTTACTTTTGTCTATAACTTGCTACAAAGTAAAGTACTTCATTTATTATTATCACTTACATCTCATAGACAAATAATCTTATTATTAAATACTAAGTAATCTGGCTTCTCCTTTCATGCCCAGAGTCTTCTCTTGCCCTGCCTAAATTGTAACTATAATTACATTTCTATTTGCCTAAGGCAATTTACATGATTGCAATAACATCTAACATGTGCCAGGTTCTCTAATTATTTTACATGAATTAACTCCATAGTATTATCTTAATTTTCATATTAGCATCTATGAGTGAAGAAGTAACTAACTTGGTCAAGGTCACACAGCTAACAACGGGCAGGCCTGTAATCTGAACCCAGGAATAGTGGCCCCTGGACCTGACTTTCTAATTGTCCTACTCCATGTCCTCTCAACCATACCTTGGCTTTTAAATCAAACTCTTCTGACTCGCTGTTTATGCCAAATGAAATAACTCTTTGAAAAAAATCAAGTAAATTGAAGAATTATATATTTAATTTGGAGATTTATATCTAGCTTTTGCACAGTTTATAGACTGTAGGTTTCAGTGTAAAAGACTGAGAAACAGCAGCCTCAAAGGAAGAGATTTCAGTATTTTACCCAATAGATAAAGTGGTCTAAAAAAGTGTCAGGCACAGTAAAGGCATTAAAAATATGTGTTAAATAAACTAATACATGAGTGAAGAATGCATCATCAAATGATTGAAAATAGAACTCATCTAACAGTAAGGAGAGTTTCTTTTTTTTTTTTCTTGAGACAGAGTCTCGCTCTATCGCCAGGCTGGAGTGCAGTGGTGCGATCTCAGCTTACTGCAACCTCCACCTCCCGGGTTCAAGCGATTCTCCTGCCTCAGCCTCCTGAGTAGCTGGGATTACAGGCATGCAACATCACGCACAGCTAATTTTTGAATTTTTAGTAGAGATGGGTTTTCACCATGTTGGTCACACTGGTCTCAAACTCCTGACCTCATGATCCACCTGCCTTGGCCTCCCAAAGTGCTGGGATTACAGGTGGGAGCCACCACACCCAGCCAGGAAAGTTTCTTAACTTCAAATTTATCATGGAGGAATTTAAATTTTTATGGACTTACATTTTTCTTATTTTATGCATGATATTCTTGGATAATTAGAGCCTGAGCTGGTTTCTTCATTTACTTTCCCTTACCACACAATGAGTCAGCAATTTGCATTAGTAGTTTCCATTCTAGGAATGGAAAGAGAAATAAAGACCTTTTTTATGCTAACCATAGTCCTCTAAATTAAATACAAGCATGTTTCAAAAGAATGAAAATATTAAACAAATAAATGTCACTTTTCTCAAATGAATTTTAGTTTCCAACCTCATTCTTGGCTCTTCATACACTAAATGGAGAAACAGTTTTGTGTTGGATGATTCAGTGCCAGAAGGAGCTGCTAACAAAGCCTCTAATATGTTTGGGATCAAAAATCAAATAGCAAGCTTCTGGAACATGAAGGTGGGAGAAGACCTTATCCCTTAAAATGATCTCGGGATTTTAGAATTGTGCTTTTATTATATTCTTGCTGGGTTTTCTAGATATAAGGGACAAAGTATTTTAGTAAAAAGAAAACTGGACTTGGAAGACAAATTGATTTTGGTTTGAATCACTTTCACTCTATGACCTTGGCAATAAAAATACATGCTTGGGTGATGTAATGTTTAAGGTTCCTTCTAGCTCCAATGTTCTATAAATTAAATAATATTCTAGTTTTTAAGCAGCAGAAATCATTAGATAGCTTAAATGTATGACTGATTTTTGTGTCTGTGTATATGCATATGCATAAATTTAGAAGACAAGTGGATTAGTGTTCGACTACGGTTTTTTTCTTTATTCTGCAATTGACTTTTACTGCCAAAATAAACAAAAAAGAGTTAATGTATTCTACTGAATTTCAAGTAAGATATTGATTTTTCCAAACTTCTAAATAACACTTTTATTCAGTGTAAACAATAGCCAATATTGCTAATATATTTTACAGACTATTTTGATGTTATCATTTGTATTCATTTGTAAACCAAATAAACTGTCCCATGTCACATGAGACAGTTATTATATCAATATGACTCACATCAAACTATGTCTTTGATGCTATTTAGCAGGATATTAGAAAAATAATTTCACAAATAAGTTGAGTTTGTTCAAAGAATGAGACAGCAAGACAGAATTTCCTATCTAGGAAAAATAAGACACCTGATTTTTAACCTTGTTTATTTTTACAGAATTGGGGGCAAAAGAGCAAAAATGAACCTAATATTTAATATTATAAAGAAAAATGTAAGAAACTTTTGGACATGGATTTAGAATCATTAAACATTTAATCAACAATGGCAAATCTGTAGGCAAGATTAGTCAGCATTAATGTTAACACCAGCAATGGGAAACCCATGCAATGCGTTCAGCTTTGCTATTATCCTGTGCTCAATGTTAGTATTCATCAATATAAATTTATAACATTTCTCAAAAGATGTGCCAAAGCTTAGTTCTCTTTTAGACATCCCTAAGATTTGGGGGCATTTAGCGAACGGTGGTGTCAGCAATAACTGATAATGCCTGCATCGTTTTTCCTTCTCAGCTCCTAAATGACCTAAATATTAAGTATCAATGTTTGAAATATTAATTTGTCAGACATTTGTAATGTATCTCAACTGATTTGTTGTTGTTTGTAAACACTCTTCCTGAAATTCTTCACATTGCAAAATAGTAATTTTCTAAAACGAAAGCATATAAATAAGCAAATTGTCAAACAAATCCAAATGAAATAAGAACTCATCAAAACTAACAAGCACAAAAATAAATTAAATGCTCCCACTATGAAAAATAAACCACAGTCACTTATATTTAATTTATCTGGTTTCTAAGTTTAAGTTGCAGAATAATTAGTCCAAACTTTTACTTCCATGTATATAACAATATATAGATACAAAAATATATATGGATATATGTATATATATTTGGAAATATGTATATGAGAGAGATAGGGAGAGAAATATGTCAGATGTTAGATAATTTTCTATTAAATGTACTTTTCTCAAAGACAAGTTCTTGTGAAAAGTTTAACAAAGTCCTAAAATGTTCCACAATGTAGAAACAGATAGGCAGAATATCGGAACTTGGAAACATTATTATTCATTATAAAAGTGCAGCAACCTCTTTTAGAATATTTCTTTTTAAGCCTCTTTGCCAGAGTAACCCTGATGGCAGAGGACAGGATTTTATGCTATCAAGATTAAAATATTTTTCCTACATCAACATTCTGCTGACCATAGCAGTGTGTTTGGGTTTCCATTAATGCTGCAACTTTTCGTCATGTGATCACAATTTTAAACTCACTTAATGTGTGCATGTGTGTGTGGTTCTAAACATAGCTATTAAATTTATTTTATTCCCTGAGATTCTACTTACCTCCCAAGCTCTATCAAATATCTAGCCTCAACCAATTTAGACATTTTAGCATTGCTGTTTCCATTTTGGAATAAATCTCAATGGATAAAAAGACTCATGTATTCTGCAAAACAAGGCAACTAAAGGCGTAATTGTTTTCATGGCCAAAATCTGAGTCATCAATTAAGAAGGAGCTTTAAATACTTTTCTTTAAAAAAGATGAATTATAAAAAACTAGAAAATGTGCTTTTGTTCAAGCATTATTAAAACCAGTCCATTGCAGGAAATACAATTGTTATTGAAGGAATAAGTCTATGATAGACTACTAAGAGAATATTAGGGGAAAAAGTGGAAGATTCTTTCTAAGTTTTCCTTGTACACTTTAAAAGGCTAATTCAGAAATATATGAAATCTAAATAAAACGCATATATATCCTGACCTGGGTTCTCTAAACGTTAATATGTTTATTGTTTAAATTATTCTAAAGAAAATAGAAAATCACAAGCACGTCTGTGTATTTTATCTCTCTTTTGAATTCTTGACTTATTAATGTATCTGATTATCTGGAGGGTATCTTCTTAAAGATAGCTTAAAAATCTCAAAAATCAATATAATTCAAACCAAATGTATCATTTTCCCCTGGTCTCTTTAATTTTGAAAAATGCTACCCTCCCCATCTTTCCAGATAAACTTACGAAGATTTTATAAATCAATGAAGACTCTTATAACTAAGAAAAAATAACCATCAAATATTTTCATTTCCATAAAATCATTCTCATGTTCCATTCCCAATCTTATTAGTAAGCCACAATATAGAACATTATTATCTCTTCCTGATAGTTAAGCCTTGAGCTAGTTCACTCTGTCTAAATATTTTCCATCTCACCCTCAAATTTATCTCTGAAAAATGCAAAAAATATATTATTCTCTGCCCCAAGACCATAGATATAAGACTAGTCAAAACAGATTTAGTTCAAACTACTTAGCATAAATACAAAATACTTCACATTCTATATAGCTTCAACTTCTATAGCACTGAAATAGCTTATTCATCTGTCAAGAAACAGATGGAATGCTTTTTGTGATTTCTATGGTTGACAGAAGAGCCCTCTAAATAGGTCCAGGCCCTAATCTCTCCTACCTGAGAATATGCTATGTCACACGGCAAAAATGACTTTGCAAATATAAATAAGGTGACAGACATTCAAGTTGTCAAATTATTTTGGATTACCCAGGCGAGTCCAATATATTTACATGACCCCTTAAAAGCCAATCACTTCTCCATCTAAAGGTAGAGAGATATTGCACAAGGATTACTCGGAGAAATTCAAAGTGTGACAATGACTCAATTAGTCATTGCTGGAGGAATTCACATGGAAACCCTAAGAAAGGTTGAGTGTAGCTTCTAGGAGAAAAAAACTGGCCCCCAACCAACAGCCACAAAGGAAACAGTGATGTGAGTCCTATGACTACAGAAAACTGAATTTTGCCCGCAATCTAAATAAGTTTGGAAACAGATGTTTCCTCAGACCCTCCAGTAGGAAATGCAGACCTTTCAGTACCTTAGTTTTAACCTTGTAAGACCTGGAGCACAGAAACCAGCTAACCCCACCTAAACTTCTGACCTACAAAACTGTAAGTTAAAATATTGGCGTTCTTACAGGCTGCCAAGTTTATGGAAATTTGTTACATTAGCAATGAAAACCTAATACAAAGTTTTCCTTAGAAATAAACATCATCCCTTAGAAATAAGCATTATCTTTTAGAAATAAACATTCCATCTTACACAATATATGTATATGTTTTATTCTTTCATTGCACAATATATGTGTATGTTTTATTACAATTATTTGTATTCCTTCTTACACAATATATGTATATGTTTTATGACAGTTATTTGTATGTATATTCTTTACTCTTAGGACCTATAAATAACTTGTGACAGATTTTCTTTAAGCTTGTTAGTATTCCAGTCTATCTAAACTCACCAACATGGGATATATGGCAGGTTTTTTTCCAAAGAAAACCACAATAACATCTCCCATCCCGTATGTGCTTCTACAAAGTGATTTGCAGCTTCCCTATGAAGAAGTGAAGTTGAATTTTTCACAAACTTAAAACCAGGTGGGCTTTGTAGGCTGGTTTTGAATAACAACAAAGGCAGAAATGACCCCATGCTAGTTCTGAGTATTGTTCTTAATGGACCTCTCAGCTTCCACTTCCTGCCTCTTGGGAGCCAGCCACCGTGAAAAATTTAACTACTCTAAGACCACTAAGTTGTGAGAAACCCTAGTTGCACGGAAAGGCCCAGAAGTTAAGAAACCATCAAACCTTTGTGTTGGGTGAATGGGGAGAGACAGGGGGTAGGGGAGGGAGAGAGAGATAAAGGGAGGGAGAGAGAATAAAGAACATTGATTCACCACATACGTGAATAAGGGAGCCACAAGGGAACAACATCTTCCAGTCACTGCTGACTCTGCTGACAGACACCAAAGAATCACAGACAAACTGCTCAGCCTAGCCCTTTCCAAATCCTTTACCCTCGAATTATGAGCAAATCAAAATGGTCAGTCAGTTTGGGAGCAATTTGTTACACAGCCATAGATAACTGAAACAGACTCATTTGAAAAGGACTCTAGCCATTAATAAAAAAAAATTAACCACCAATTCTCTGCCTCTGGTGGCAGAACAGATACATTCTTGGTCTTGCAATTATATGTTGAAGAGTGTTAAACAAAAAACAAAACATAAACTTTAGACAAATTAAATTTAGCGGGGTTTATTTGAGCAAAGTACAATTCATGAATCAGGCAGAACTCAGACCCAGAAAAGGTTTATGGAACTTCACCCAGCTGTGTGAACAGCTGGCTTTTATGGATCAGACACAGAGGCAAAGTACAGAGGTCACCTGGTTGTCCACAGCTGGGTGTCTGCATTATTTGGGCATGGTCTGATGAGTTGGCTGGCCTGTGATTAGATGAACCTTGGCTGTTTGTTATACTTCTAATTTAGGTTTCAGATTGTTATTGTAGGAACTCAAAGTATAAAGAGTCTCAAGCTAATGTTGTCTTGATTACTGATTTATCAGGAGTCTTGTCTTCTGGCCAAAACACTTTTGTGTGATATTTTAGGCCTGATCATAGGCCTGGCAAACCTCATGGGGTAAAGCTACCTTCTCTACACCAGGCTCAGTGCCCAGCCAGTGCACTTCAGTCTGTGATGGGAGTTTCAGTCAAGTACTCAGCCTTCGTGGCTGGTCATGCTCTTAGGCATATCTGCATTACTAACTGTATTAGTTCGTTTTCACACTGCTATAAAGACATGCCTGAGACTGGCTAATTTATAGAGACTGGATAATTTATAAAGAAAAGAGGTTTCATTGACTCATAGTTTCACATGGCTGGGTAGGCCTCAGGGAACTTACAACCATGGTGGAAGGGGAAGAAGCACGTCTTCCATGGTGGCAGGTGAGAGAGAGAGCCCAAAGGGGGAAGAGCCCCACACTTATTAAGCAACAAAATCTCATGAGAACTTACTCACTATCATGAGAACAGCATGGGAGAAACCACCGCCATGATCCAATCACCTCCCTCCCTCCACACGTGGGGATTACAATTCCAGATGAGATTTGGGTGAGGACACGGAGCCAAAAGATATCACTAACCAGTCACCTTCATTCTGAGATCTCTTTCCCTGGGACCTTTGACTGAGGCTTTCCTCAGGCACCTCTGCTGAGACTTCCTAATAAGAGCAGGAAGGGAAAAAGTTGAAACTTTTGTTTACTCTTAGTATCCAGTAAGTAGTTTTCCACTCCCTGTCCTTCCCGCACAATTTCCTATGACTCCAGGGTCCATAAAACTGAAAGAACCTCTTACTGGGGTTCTCTGACCAGTGAGACAATCCCCTAGTCTCTGTCTGTGTAGATTTCTCTCATCCTCAGTCGGTGCAACATTCCATGTGGGAAAATGAAATAGGTGGAGTTGGAGCTTTCTCCAGTTTAGCCTCTTGCTTGTAACATCATAGTAACTGATTAAAGCCTTGACCATTGCTTTCATTGTAGTTTGTTTCTTAAATTGACGGCTGACAGCTGAGTTCTTTCTCCCCAAGTCAGCTGAGCCTGTGATATGTTAATGGTAACTACAGCTGCTTATATTAGGGTATTCTATGTTATGCTACTATGATTTATATTGAAATGTCAATCCCCAAATCTCAGCAGTCAAAACAACAAAAGCTTACTTCTCACCCAGGTTACAATTCCTTCATCGAGTGTCAGTAATGACTGCTCAACATAGTTCCTGAGGGATCCATGAAGACAGAATAGCCATCGTTCTAGCTTTGGTGTTACTATGTGAGGGGCAAAGAATGTTCTAGAAGGTCTTGCATTGTCACTTTAATATTGTGGCCTAGAAATGGCACTGATCTATTTTGCTCACCCTCCATGTTTTAATTGCAGGTCTCCATCAACTGTAAAGGGGCCAGGGAATATAATCATATCACGTTTCTGGAGTGTGGGAATCAGAAATATTTGGCAGTCAATTCTTAATACTATGCCTCTGAAAATGGCTTTCATGTTTATACACAGTCTTTTCCCTTAGAACTTGTATGACCTGCTTCTGTACACTCCACAGATTATTTAGTGTGAGGTTCCATGGGTTCTTGTGAGTCATCTTCTGATTAAAGGTGAAGTTTAATACATCATTCCCTAGTCTGAATCCTCATGGGTCTCCCTAACCCTTGTTCCCATTCAGCAAAAGCATCTCCTTCTGCTCAATGGATCCGCTTTCCATAGGTCTATCAGACAAGAAATTTTAACTTACACGGAATCTAATTGATTTACTTTCCATACCAACTCACAAAAAGGGGAGAGGGTCATTTGGAGACTTAAGTTCATTTTGCCTAAAAAATGAATTTTCCTATTTGCCAGGCATGATTTAATCATCAGCAGAATGAATAATACATATCAGTATATCCATTACAGATCTTAGTTTTTAAAAGGAAATGCAGACTTTAGATAATTCAGTCAAAGGCAACTGGAGTAAGTAGATGGAGAAAACTTTTTGAAAATGGGCTGTAAACATGTTAGCACTATATGATTTGCAAGAAGGATTCATGATAATGCTTTTGAGACAGAAAGCTCGGTTGAGGTTTATTTTCTAGAATGTGTAAACTTAAAAACACAGTCACACACGTAATCTATAAGTTTAGAAAAGGAGAAGGATACTTTATTTCTTATAAAGGGTAACAGCCTGCAAAGTGGCCATCTGCAGGCTGGGAAATAGAGCCTCTGTCTGGCCAAAGTCCAGAGACGGGCACCTCAAATGAGAAGGGAGTGCGGTAGGAGAATTATGTTGAACAGGCTGGTCAAACATACATATTCAACCGGTTACAGGAACAGCTATGAATATTCATGAAGGTGGTTCTGACACATGCATATTGAACAAACATGCATGTGACATAGAATTCATGTTCACCTTGGGGTGGGGACATAATATTTAAATGTACTATGATTAGGCCCTTGTGTTAGTTTTGCCTTGCTGTAAAGGAATAACTGAGGCTGGGGAATTTACAAAGAAAAGAGGTTTATTTGGCTTATGTTTCCACAGCCTGTACAAGCATGGCACCAACATCTGCTTGCTTTTTTTGAGGCCTCAGGAAGCTTACAATCGTGGTGAAAGGCAGATGGGGAGCCAACATGTCACATAGCAAGAGGGAGCGAGAGAGAGGAGGAGGTGCCAGGCTCTTGAAAACAACCAGATCTTGCACGCACTCATAGAGGGAGAACTTACTCATTAACCTGACGAAGGCACCAAGTCATTCATGAGGAATCCACTCCCATGATCCAAACACCTCCCACTGGGCTCATTTCCAACACTGGGGATCACATTTCAACAAGAGATTTGGAGGGGAAAAATATCCCCATATGTATTCAAAGGTCTTTTCAGGACATGAAGTTACACAAGTGTGTAATCTCCATAAACTGGCCAGGAGCAGTCCGTGGTTGGTGGTCTTCTTACTAGGAGAAAGTTACTGAATTTAGTCACTTGTCCAATTAAAGCTGTAGTTATGGCTAGTAGATCAAGGGTTCAGGTAGTCAGCTTCTGTGAGCTGGATGAGTTGTGATTATTTTAATATTGTTTATCTTGAAGACAGTACTTGTTTAGTTGCTAGAGAGAAAGAAAAACCTTGTGGCCATTAGAACATAGTTTATTTTTTGTAGTTTAAGTCTAGGGATGTGTAACTGAACTCTTGCCTGGCATGGCCTTAAGTCTTGTTTAAAATTTGATATCTTATTGCCACAAAGAGCCTATTCTGTCAGTCTTACGATCTCTATTTTATCATTAATGCTGGTCAGATGTTGTACTGAAACCATAAAAGAGAGGGGATTATAACAAGGTATGTCTGACCTCCTGCCTTGTCATGGCTGGGAACTAAGTTTCTAAGTCATTTCTGGGATTCCCCTGGCTGAGGGGGCAACCATGCAGTCAGTGGGGATGGGGGGTTTAAGATTTTATTTTTAGTTGACAGAAGCATTAACTCAAAGCCATTTCCTTTCTTTTGTTCTTGGTTATGCTGCAAAAGTTTAAGATTTGTACCCATTCCACAATGTATCCATATATCAAAAATCAATTTGTATACCATATATATGTATATATATATATATGTGTGTGTGTGTGTGTGTGTGTGTGTATATACATATATATATGGTGTACAAAATGGAATATATATATATATATATATATTTCAATTAAAAATCTCCAGCTAGGTCATCTGAATCCCTATGTATTAATTATGGTCTGGGAGCAGATGAAAGGGTTGGAAAAATTAATGTAACAGAGGGATACTCTAGGGACACCCTTAAGATTCTACCCTGTGAGAACAGGCACCTAGATTTACAACTCTATCAAGTTTACAGAAATTGAAAAGCAGTGATTCTCTGGGAAAAAAAACAACAAAACCTAGAATTAGAAACGGGCACCGAAAAACAACAAATATCAACTACTCCTAGGGAATACAATTTGCTCAAGGCAAACTTTTACTGACAAGCACAAAGTTTCCCCTAATTCATTTATTGAAAATGCTGCATTCTAAGACAAAACATATTTAGCATGACCTTCATTTTTTTCTTTTCTCAATGTGGTAAGAACAAAGTGATATGCTACAGAAAATTCTCCATACCCTTGAAGGGAGCAACTGCCATGCTCATTTTGGTATGTCCCCTGTGACTCGCTCACTGACTAAATGCCTGAGCCAAAGTCACTTCCTATGATAACAGTAGGTTATTGGCAAATCTCCACAGAAATATCATCACGGTGAGGCTGATACTAAATTAGGACAAAGCTATTTGGCTTGATCGAAGCTGAAGCTATTTTTCTGTCATATAATAGATATTATATCAGTACCCTTCAAGAAATTGCCCCGAAAGCATCAACTATATTATTATTTCAGAAACTTGGTCAGATAATGGGAACTATTTAAAAATAAAAAGTGAAGTGTATTCTTTTGTTTGGATATAAAGTAAATCCCATGTTATTTTCTAAAACAAAAAATTGATTGATTATGAAAAATGCCTTCTTGCATTGGACATAGTCCATAAATACGCATAATTGGAGAGCTCTAAAATCCTAAAATCTAAGTGGTGATTTCAGATGCGGTGATCGGTCAGGATTAAAGGAACACAAGAGTTCCTGAGACCTATGACATCTTCTGAAACCTGCATCTTTCTCCACATCATAACTTGAATAATTTTAAAGGAAATATACTAATTACTGAAAGATTCTGTCGCTTAAAGGAGAATCAGTCTTGACTTTCCCATGTAATTCATGTAAAATTTTTTCTTGTTTAGTTCATTCTTTTTGATCTATAGCAAAAAAAGTTGATTTGTTTCTCCCTAAACAAATATTAGAATGAAACAACAGGAGGTCGTCTAGACCAGAGCAAATGGGCTTAACTACTGACTTAATATAGTCAACTATATCTGAAGTTCATTGAAAACAATCACCTTTATTATTTTTTTCCCAAATGCTTTAGTAATTTGCCAAAAATCATATAAAAAGTAAATAATGAAATTAGATGTAGAATGCAGATCTTGTGAACCCAAATCTAGACCTCTGAATCAATAAATTTTGCAAAACATTGGTACAAACACTTTGTAAAAACATTTATGTTACAAATTTTTAGAATGAGTGTTATTTAACCCTTATATGCAAAGAATACAATTAATTAGAAAAATTAGATTTTGAAACATAGAAGTTGATATTACCTGACTAAATCTCAGCTGCCCTCATATTGGAATGAGCTTTGTCATATAGACATAAATGGATTAATATGTGTTATAACATCCGGAAGAAATGCAGATCAACAGTAAGATTGTCTTTTCCTCCTTGCCTTTTCCTGTTCTCTCTTCCTTGATCTTTCTTTTGTTTTCATGCCCCTCTTTCTTCCTTTTCATCCTGTTGTCATCCCTTTTTAAATTTTCCTTGCTTCCCTTTTCGTAAATTATTATATTTAATTTATAAAATTTAATGTATATTTTAAGCCTAGGGAAAACCATTTAATCATTCAAACATGAGCTTTGAGCACTTTTCAAAGCTGGCAAATTCTATAAAAATGGGAGTTCGGTTTTTAATACTCTTGTTGTTACTATTTTATATTTACATTTTGAAACATTTATTCTTTACTTATTATCTAATTTAATCCATCAACCAGCATTTGTTGGGTAGCTAGTAAACACCAAGAAGATCCTAAATATGGTCAGTTACTGTGAATGAACTTTGAGTACTTTAATGCAAACATCAAGGCGTCTTAATTGATTCCTAATCTACATGCAAACAATTTCATTGTTACTAAGTTTAGACATGTTGCGTAAGTTTTAAATCTTTTTGAATTTGGACAAGTCTTTTCAAGTTGATGATATAAATAAAATTCACTAAATCATCATGTTAACTGTATACTAAATGCATGATGATCATTCTGTCATTTTTCCATGTTAACAAAAAAACTACATTGAAGTTTTCATTATTTAAACATTAATACTTCTTGAATTTGAAATTAAGTGTATTTAATTCATCACTAGATGGCACTCTAAATTTAGACTGTAATATATGTTTCTTCAAATAGAAGCTAAATATGTTTTATAAGGAAGAATTCATTTTATAAACAAAATATTTGCCCCCCTGTTCAAACACAAACTGGAGAATTCCCTTTCTATCTGTCAACAGTAACAAAGAAAACCTACAACATGTAATAAAAAGTAGAAAAGCAATACAATAGAGTATACAGACTGGATTATAAAGAGAATATGGTGGTCATCTGAAAATATTTCTCATATATGTTTGAATCTATTTTTAATTTATAATTTTGAGACTTAATTTTTCCATATACAATAATACAGGAAGTGTTAAAGTGTTTTTGTTGATTTACCCACCGTTTTAAAAACTGACTTGCTTCTTAAAAGTTAGTCAGCTTTCAGTATCCACAGGATCCATCTGCAGGCTCAACCTACTGCAGATCAAAAATATTAGCAAAATTTTTTTAAAAAAAACTACAACTAAAATATACAAATAAAAATATAGTATAACAACTTACAAAGCATTTACATTGTATTAGATATTATAAGTAACCTAGAAATGATTTAAAGATGTCCATAGATTATGTGCAAACACTATTCTATTTTATGTAAGGGACTTGAGCATGCTCAGATTTGGTCCTAGAACCAATCCCTGGCAGATATAGAAGGATAACTGTATTTTTATTTGTAACAAATATATAAGTATGATGGATACAATAAAAATGAATGTACTTCTGCTAAAACATAACTTTTGTGTCAGATATAATTGTATGTAGACTGCCTCAAATACAAGATAATAACTTGTGTAATTCCTTTTCTCCTAAATGTTAGAAGCTGTACAAATTTTTCATTTTTCTAGAGAAGATTTTTTAGCTTCCTAAGAAGACTAAGCACTTTCTTGTGTTACTTTCATTTGTAAGTGATGACATCCCCCATAAAATCATAGTAATGAACCTTTGGAAACATAATTCTGACCATTTGAAAAGTATCAGGCCAATGATACTATGACCCCAGTATAATTGAAACCATCAACTGTTCTCTGTTCAGGGACCACAGCCTGGGTGGTTAGCATAAGGGCTGCTGAGGTGGCTCGGCCTCATATTCAGACTGTCAATTAGACTGCATTAAGGAACACTTCTAGCAGGGTTAATGCCACTGCAAGTGTAAAGCAGGCATTTAAAAATAGCCGACATTTAAAAATATTCTGTATTAGAAGTCCAAATTTTCCATGGATGAAAGTCAATATATTTTGCCCTTATTCTATGCTAAGGTCGTGACTCCAATTATTATGTAAAAATGGGTTTCTCTGAATATTTTTGACTTTGCTGATGACTACATTTTTTTTTTTCTTATCCTGACTGCACAGTAAAGATTGACTCTCTAATTCTCTGGGTCAGATACGTGTGGAAATGACTATTATATTCTTGTTTTCCACATCAGAGAATGAGATCTTTGAATAAAATTTCTCCTGGATAAATGAAAAAACAAGTAGAATAATATTGCATTTCTGCATAGTTTCTTTTTCACTGGGTAAGTCTCTTTGTAATGAAAATGAGGAGAGGACTCCATCATTATTAACATTGATAAACAGGTAAAATTTTAATCTTTATATTTTTGATTCTGTTATTGTAAAGATGACATAAAATGAGAAATTTTAAAAATATTATGTTACTTTGAATATGTATTTCATAAATATGTATTGTATAAATATTTATCTTAGAAAATAATATTTTTCTTTAAAAGCTCCAAAAATGTTCTAATGTATTATAAAAGATAAGAAAACAGATTTATTTTAAAATTGCACTTAGAAATTAACAGTTTTCTCTGTCAATATTTGTCTATTATAGATAGTAATGCAAGACCAATATTTCAGGAACATATATATTTTTATTTATTGTTTGTGAGAACAAACTTTGAAACAAATATTTACTTACTAGTATCAAATTAACAAAGATTTTATGTAGGATATAATTAAAAAGTGCTATAATGTTGAGAGACATTGGCAAAGATTAAAATATGTTATCCAAGTGTTCAAAAATTTACAGAAGAGTTGTGTCAGGAGATAGAACTTTAGGAAATATACTTAAACACAAACCTTAATCACAAATTTCTCACAGAAATCAGACTGGTTGCTACAAATGTCTAATTGAATGCATTAGTGCATCAGGAGAAGTCCTTCAAATAACCTCAAAAGGTGGGAGACTGGCAGGACTTATTTTCTAGTCACAACCCTGCTGACTAAAACAGGATCTGGTCCAGACTGAATAAAGCAAAAATAGTCAGGAACCAGCAGATGGCAACAAAAGAGATCCCTATTTGCCCTCATTGCTCATTAGCAGAAGACACTCCCATCAGCACTATGACAGTTTATAAATGCCATGCCAACGACCCAGAACTTAACAACCTTTTCCTAGAAAGGTCTGAATAACCCACCCCTCAATTTGCATTGATCCACCCCTTAATTTGCATGAAACGGAAAGTGAGTTTATGTAAGTACACATACAGTTGCCAACCCATACATTGCCTACTCTGTGTACACTGCCCGTGAATTAGCTCTGTTCTGCAAGGAGCAGTACCATCCAATGAAAGATTGCTAACACCACTGGCTCACTCTTGAATTCTTTCCTGGGTGCTGCCAAGAACCCTCCTGGGCTAAGCTCCAATTCTGGGGCTCACCTGTCCTGCAACAAGATGCATTTGTTAAAAGAATAGGCAATTAGAATCACCCAACTTGAATTTGAATCCTGACATTTTTCTTGCTATATTTGGAAACTTGGACAAATGATTAATCTCTTTAAGCCTAGACTTCCTCATTCTAAAATAAGAAAAATCATGCCTAAACAATCTCACTGGCAATTTCCTCTTTGGAGAAGTCCTAGAACTGAAATGGCTGGTGACTATGTCCAAGCATTCGTTATACAGATTAACTCCAGCCTCTTCTGGAACATAACTGCATATTTTCATAGTCCTTCCACAAATTCCAGCTTGGCTATATCATTGAGTCTTCTAAACTATGTCAATTACTAGGATTTGAAACACACCACAGATTTTTCTTAAAATAGAGTGGAAACATGTCTTTGAATTACTTAAAAATGCAGCAAGTAACTTTATCATGTTAATGTTCTGCTCATTACAAAAAATGTTTTTGGGCAACTACATGTATCTTTAAATTCAAAATACACTCGCCTAAGGTGCTTGGTGATTTGCCAGGTTCATGTATCATGACTTTTAGCAAGAATTTTCTAGGATATCAAAAAATGTAGGCCACATTTTTTATTTGTTTCAAATCAATAAATATAAAAACTAAAAAGATGTATAGATTATATTAAGAAATAATGTGAATAAAATGACATATGCTTATGTTAAGGATTTGAATTAAGCAAGAGTACTGAGCCCCCAGTAATCTGGTTCCACATCTTGATGGTGTGTCCTAAGACCTTGCTAATCAGAATATTGGTTCACAAGCCTGCAGGATCCACACGACCTGAGAACTTGTGAAAAATGTGGGATTTCACATTACAAAACAGATTTACTGCATTTAGCAACATCTCCACTTGGTTCATAAATACAAAGGTTGGAGAAGCGTTTCTATCTTTGCTACTGTACGTAGGTTCATAACCTCAACACTACTAAACCCCTTAGTCTTCGTTTTATCATTTCATAGAGCCCATAGAGAGCAATGATCTGTAAGTCAATTGTGTTGACTTTGACTGACAATGCCATTTGATGATGCCACAGTAACTATAAACATCTTGTCTTCATAAGTAGAATGGTGGAGCTTATATAGTTCTATTTTCAAGACAGTAATCAATTGAATAAGTTGAAAAACTCTTTTTCTTACAAAAAGAAAAAAAAGGCTCTACACATAATTTTCCTGAAAAGTCAGATTATGTTATTCTTAGACCTCTATCATCCGTCTGTTCCTTCCTGAACCAGTGTGATCTTTGGATGTTTATTTTTAAAAATTATATTTTCTCTGACACATTTCAACATTTTTTTTCTTTATCGTCTGTCACGCAGATGCACAGAGTAGGATCAAGGAACTACAATGGATAAAGAGAATGATTATCCAAAAATGTTTCATTTTCTTTCCAAATTAATAGCCATTAGTGGTTTCACTCCTAGGCCAAGTAATCATAATCACTATCACTGCAAATATTTGTGTTGAATGTAAAATAGTATTTCCAAGGGACTCTTCAGCTGGCTTTATCTTAATACACAGCAAAATCATCAACATTTGATGGTCTTCTTTGAGTCTTATGAAAAAAATTGCTCTATTATGTTAAATTTAATTGCTTTGGATCAAATACTATCCAGTGTTGCTAACAAAAATAATATAATATAATATAAAACATTGTTTAAACTGTTGTTAAATATTAGGCATTGTGCTAATCATTTCACTTTTCATAACACTGTAAATTAGTCATGGTTATTATCCTCACTTTATAGATGAGAAAACAAAAGTTCAGATCACTTAGTTTACTTTCCCAAGGCTTGAATCTTCCTCGGCCTAACTCTAAAATCCTTGCTGATAGTTGCTGTAGTATGCCTTACCTAAACTACAGAATTCATACCTTAAAAGGAAAAAAAATATATCTTTTTATATTTCTCTCAGGAATTAAACACAAATAATATGAAATAAATATTTGCGATTGTTCAATAAGCTTTGCCTAAAACATATTGGTTTGGAATTTTTATAAATAAAATTCCACAGATAGAAATATTTGATAAATGTATCTTATACATAAATTTTATAGTCCCTATATAAATTTATTTATCATTTGTCCAAATATGTATTTTTCTTCATGGTTCAAGTTTTCAAACATTGGTTTATCCTTTTGGAAGCAGTGAATTAACCTTTTTATTTAGTTAATTTTCTGTAACACAATAAAGAGAACCGAGATAAATAGATGGGCAATTTTGGTTAATATAATGTAATTACCAGAATAGATCTTGACTAACTTATCTAAAATTATACAAGTTCCATATATTTAATGTGTCACAGTAGAATTGTACTCAGTATTTTGTTCTAACAGCAGAACTAGAAGAATATTTGTTACCTGCTTTTCATTATACTTTCAACTATGGTCTGTAAAGGAAGCATTGATAAGCAGTTTCTCTCATGGATTTAATAGGTTCAGAAGAATCCTTTTAAATGTCATCTCTTTCATTTATTTGTTTAATGTTTTATTCTAGATATAGATATATAGATTTATAGTATATAAAGTCAGTTTCACATAGCAAAAAATATCATGTAAATGAAGATTTAATCAATAGCTAAATGAGATAAAATAATCCAAATATATTCATAAACAATCACTTCTATTATGCTCATAGAAAATTATATTTATGATTGCTTGCTTTTGCTAGAATGATAGAATACAGACTTTGTTTTTCAGTATAACAGTCTACTACTCCCCTCAGAAAATAACTGGTTTAATATTCAGAAAATGATTTTAGATATTAGCATTAAGTACAGTTGAATATTCAGAATCACTATATTTCTAGCTCATAATAGAAAAGGTTTCATTAAGATAATATTTCTTGCTATTATGTAAAATTTAATCTAACTTTTTTAAACCAAGAAGTGCCAATAATTTTAAGATACCTTGCAAAAAAAATTGACATCAAAGACATTGATATGGTGCATTTTAAGTTCAACTGCAATGAGAAATTCTTATTTTAGAATTAGATACATATATTTTGAGATAGAATATTTATTATGGAAAATTAGAATAGATGCATTATTTTACAGATAAATAAACAAACGCTGAGTACAATTTAGTAAGATGTAAGATTGCATTTTTTTTTTATCATCTGTGCGCCTGTGAACCTACACTAAATATACTTCTTTTTTAACTTTTATTTTAGGATCGAGAGTACATGTATGAACTTGTTATACAGGTAAATTATGTGTCATGGGGGTGTGGTGTATAAATTATTTTGTCACTTAGGTAACACACATGCTACCCAGTAGGTAGTTTTGCAATCCTCACCTTTCTCCCACCCGCCACCCTCAAGTAGGACCTGGTGGCTATTGTTTCCTTATTTGTATCCATGTGTACTAAATGTTTAGCTCCCACTTATAAGTTAGAAGATGGCAATATTTGTTTTTCTGTTCCTGTGTTGATTTGCTTAGGTTAATGACCTCCAGCTCTATCCATGTTGCTTTAAAGGATGTGAGCTGATTCTTCTTTATGGCTGCATGTTACACCGTGGTGTATATGAACCACATTTTCTTTATCCAGCCTACCACTGATGGGCATCTAGGTTGATTCCTTGTCTTTGCTATTGTGAATAGAGCTGCAATGAACATTCACGTGTATGTGTGTTTATGGTAGAATGATTTCTATTCCCTTGGGTATTTACCCAAATAATGGAATTGCTGGGTCAAATGGTAGTTCTAAGTTCTTTGAAAAATCACCACGCTGCTTTCCAAGATGGTTGAACTAACTCACATTCCCACCAGCAGTGTATAAGTGTTCCCTTTTCTCTGTAATCTCACCATCATCTGTTACTTTTTGACTTTTTTAGTAAGAGTCACTCTGACTAGTGTGAGATGGTATTTCATTGTGGTTTGAATTTGCATTTCTCTAAAGATGAGTGATGTTGAGGATTTTTTCATATGTTTTTTGGATGTGTGCATGCCTTCTTTGGAAAAGTGTCTGTTCATGTTCTTTCCCACATTTTAATGGGGTTGTTTGTTGATTGTTTGTAAATTTAAGTTAATGTATAGATTAAGTTAATGTATAGTTATATAATGTATAACTTAAATTTGTTTAAGTTAATGTATAGATTTTATACATTAGAGCTTTGTTGGTTATCTGTTTACTCTGTTGATAGTTTCTTTTGTTGTGCAGAAGCTCTTTAGTTTAATTAGGTCCCATTTGTTAATTTTTATTTTTGTTGCAGTTGATCTGGCCATATTCATCATAAAATGTTTGCCAGGGCCTATGTCCAGAATGGTATTTCCTAGGTTTTATTCAAGGGTGTTTACAGTCTTAGACTTACACTTAAGTGTTGAATCCATCTTGAGTTGATTTCTGTATATGGTAAAAGGAACGAGTTCAGTTTCAATCTTTTGCATTTGGCTAGCCAGTTATCTCAGTACCATTTATTGAATAGGGAGTTCCTTGTCCATTACTTGTTGATATGGTTTGTCTCTGTGTCCCTATCCAAATTTCATGTTGAATTGTAATTCCCAGTGTTGGAGGAGGGGCCTGGTGGGAGGCAATTGAATCATGGGGGTGGACTTCCCCCTTGATGTTTTCATGATAGAGTTCTCATGAAATCCAGTGGTTGAAAGTGTGTAGAAATTCCCCTTTCTCTCTGTCTCTTCCTCCTGCTCTGGCCATGTGAAGATACGCCTCATTCCTCTTTGCTTTCCACCATGATTGTAAGTTTCTTCAGGCTTCCTCAGTCATGCTTCCTGTACAGCCTACAGAATCATGAGCCAATTAAGTCTCTTTTCTTTATGAGTTACCCAGTCTCAGGTATGTCTTCATAGCAGTGTGAGAATGGACTTGTTACTGTCAATTTTGTCAACTATAAAATGGTGATAGGTGTGCAGCTTTATTTCTGGGCACTATATTCTATTCTGTTGGTCTATGTGTCTGTTTTTGTACAAGTACCATGCTGTTTTGGTTACTGTAGCCTTGTATTATAGTTTGAAGTTGTGTAATGTGATGCCTCCAGCTTTGTTCTTTTTGCTTAGAATTAATTTGACTATTCAGGCTCTTTTTTCGTTCCACATGAATTTTAAAAAAGTTTTTTTCGAATTCTGTGAAAAATGTCATTGGTAGTTTTGCTTTGGGCAGTATGGCCATTTAATAATATTGATTCTTCCTATTCATGAGCATGGAATGTTTTTCCATTTGCTTGTGTCATTTCTGATTTCTTTCAGCAATGTTATGTAATTTTCAATGTAGAAATCTTTCACCTCCTTGGTTAGCTGTATTCCTAGGTGTGTGTGTGTGTGAGTGTGTCTATTGTAAATGAGATTGTGTTCTTGAATTGGCTCTCAGATTGGATGTTGTTAGTGTGTAGAAATGCTACTGATTTTTGTACCTTGATTTTGTGTCCTGAAACTTTGCCACAGTTGTTTATCAGATCTAGGAGCTTTGGGACAGTGACTACAGGTATAAAATCATATCATCTTTAAACAGATAGTTTGACTTCATCTTTTCCTATTTGGATGTCTTTTATTCATTTCTCTTGTCTGATTGCTCTGGCTGGGACTTCCAGCACTATGTTTACTAGAAGTGGTGAGATTGGGTATCCTTGTCTTGTCCTGGTTCTCAAGGGTAAGACTTCCAGTGTTTGTCTATTCAGCATGATATTTGCTGTGGTGTTTTCACAGGTGGATAACTTTTATTATCTTGAGGTATGTTTCTTCAATGCCTAATTTGTTGAGGGTGTTTAAAATGAAGGGATTTTGAATTTTAATGAAAGCCTTTTCTGCATCTATTGAGATGGTCATGAGATTTTCAATTTTAGCCCTGTGTATGTGATAAATCACATTTATAAATTTGTGTATGTTGAAGCAACCGTGCATCCCAGGCATAAAGCCTACCTGATCAGGGTGGATTAGCTTTTCAAAGTGCTACTGGATTCCATTTGCTAGTATTTTGTTGAGGATTTTTGTATGTGTCTCTGCTAGGTTTTTGTATCAGAATGATACTGCCTCGTAGAAATAAGTTAGGGAAAAGTCCCTCCTCCTAAATTTTTTTGGAAGAGTTTTAGGAGAAGTATTGCCAGCTCTTCTTTATAGATCTGGTAGGATTTGGCTGTGAATCTGTCTGGTTCAGGAATTTTTCTGGTTGTTAGGCTTTTTATTACTGATTCAATTTTAGAACTTGTTATTAGTCTCTGTAGTGACTCAATATCTTCCTGGTTCAATTTTTGGGGATTTAGTGTTTCCAGGTATTTATCCTTTTGGGGGGCCAGGGGGTTCTAGTTTCTGTGCATAGAGGTGTTTATAATTGTCTGTGAGGATATTTTATGTTTCAGTGGTTTTGGTAGCAATATCTCCTTTCTCATTTTGATTGGTGTTTATTTTTTTTGGATCTTCTCTCTTTTTTTCCTTTAGTAGTCTAGCTAGCAACCAATCAATCTTATGTATTCTTTCAAACAATCAACTTCTGATTTTTGTTGATATTTTGTATGATTTTTGTCATCTTAATTCTATGGTTTTATGCTATCTTCTTAGTATGGATTTTTGTATTTATTGTGTGTCTCTTGAATGTCAATGAACTTTACGGTCCAAAACTTGTGGTCCATGTTTTGTTGGTATGATTTTTTTTAATTTGTTGAGAATTTTTTTATGATTGATTGTGTGGTGAATATAGAGTATGTGCTGTGGGCAGATAAGAAGAACGTATATTCTGTTGTTTTTGTGTGGTGAGTACTGTAGATGTTTGTTATTTCCATTTGGTCAAGTGTTGAGTTCAGGTCCCAGATATCTTTCTTAGTTTTCTGCCTCCATAATCTAATACTGTCTGTGGGGTGTTGAAGTCTACCACTCTAATTGTGTGGTTATCTATGTCTCTTGTAGGTTTCTAAGAACTTGTTTTATAAATTGGTGTGCTCCTTTGTTGGGTACATATATATTTAGGATAGTTAATTCTTGTTGATTGAACCCATTACCATTAGATATTGTATTTTGTCTTTTTGGACATTGTTAGTTTAAGTCTTTTGTCTGAATTTACAATAGCAATCCCTGCTATTTCATTTATTTATTTATTTATTTTGCTTTCAGTTTGCTTGGTAGATTTTTCTCTATTCTTTTACTTTGAGCTTGTGAGTCTCTTAAAGACAGCAGAGGGGTCTTTCTTCTTTACTCAACTTGCCACTCTGTGCCTTTTAATTGCGAGTATTTAGGCCTTTACATTCAAGATTAATATTGATATGTGCAGATTTGATCTTGTCATTGTGTTGATATCTGGTAATTATGCAGACTTGATGTATCTTTGATTTATAGTGTCAATGATTTATGTATTTAACTGTGTTTTGTCGTGGCCAGTAATGGTCTATTGTTTCCATATTTAGCACCCCTTAAGGACCTCTTGTAAGACACTTCTGGTGATAATGAATTCCCATGGCATTTGCTTACCTAAGAAGGATCTTATTTTTCCTTTGCTTATGAAGCTTAGTTTGGCTGGATACAAAATTCTTGGTTGAAATTTCTTTTATGTAAGAACGTTGAATATAGCCCCCCACCATCTCTTCTGGCTTGTATGGTTTCTTATAAAAGGTCCACTGTTAGCTTAATAAGGTTACCTTTGTAGGTGACCTGCCTCTTCTCTCTAGCTGTCTTTAATATATGTTTTTTCCTGTTGGCCTTGGATAATCTGATGACTATGTGTCTTGGAGATGATCATCTTGTATTATCTAACCAGAGTTCTCTGCATTTCCTGAATTTGAATATTAACATCTCTAGTGAGGCTGGGGAAATTTTTATCAACAATATCCTTAAATACATTTTCCAAGTTGCGTGCTTTCTCTTCCTTTCTTTCAGGAATGTCAATGAGTCACAGATTTAGTTGCTTTACAAAACATAGCTTTTGGATACTTTTTCAACTCCTTTTTATTATTTTCTTTACTTTTTCTGAGTAAGTTTATTCCATGTCCCATTCTTTGATCTTTAAGATTCTTTCCTCAGTTTGGTCTATGCTTCTGTTAATACTTGCAATTTTATTATACAATTCTTGTATGTTTTTTAGCTCTATGTGATCAGTTTGGCTATTTCTTAAAATGGCTATTTCATCTTTCAGTTCCTGTATCATTTTATTGGATTGCTAAGATTCCTTGAATTGAATTTCAACTTTCTCTTGAATCTTTTTTTTTTTTTTTTTTGAGATGGAGTCTTGCTCTGTCGCCCAGGCTGGAGTGCAATGGTGCTATCTCGGCTCACTGCAAGCTCCGCCTCCTGTGTTCACGCCATTCTCCTGCCTCAGCCTCCCGAGTAGCTGGGACTACAGGTGACCACCACCACACCCAGCTAATTTTTTTTTTTTTTTTTTTTTTTTTTTTGTATTTTTAGTAGAGATGGGGTTTCACCGTGTTAGCCAGGATGGTCTCGATCTCCTGACCTCATGATCTGCCCACCTCAGCCTCCCAAAGTGCTGGGATTACAGGCTTGAGCCACTGCACCCAGCCAACTTTCTCTTGAATCTTAATGATCTTCGCTCCTATCCAGATTCTGAATTCCATGTCTATAATTTTAGCCATTTAAGCCTGGTTAAGAACTATTGCTGGGACTAGGTGCAGTGGTTCATGTCTGTAATCCCAGCACTTTGAGAGGCCAAGGTGGGTGGATCACTTGAGGTCAGGAATTCGAGACCAACATGGTGAAACCCCATCTCTACCAAAAAAAAAAAAAAAAAATTAGATTTGTGTGGTGGTGCATGCCTTTAATCCCAGCTATCTGAGAGTCTAAAGAGGGAGAATTGCTTGAACCTGGGTGGCAGAAGTTGCAGTGAGCCAAGATCACATCACTGCACTTCAGCCTGTTTGACAGAGGAAGTCTCCATCAAAAAAAAGAAAGAAAGAAAGAGAGAGAGAGAGAGAGAGAGAGAGAGAGAGAGAAGAAAAGAAAAGGAAAGAAAAGAAAAGAAAAAAGAAAAGAAAAGAACCATTTTTGGAAAACTAGTGCAGTCATTTGGCTATAAGAAAACACTCTGGCTTTTAAAATTGCCAGATGTCTTGTATTAGTTCTTATCTGTATGATCTGATGTTACTTTCATCTTTGAAGTTGCTGCCCTTTGGTTGGTGTCTTTTCTTTTATATTATTTGATGGCCTTGAGGGCTTGATTATGGTATAAAATGGATTCAGTTGACTTGCTTCATTTCTGGAAGATTTTAAAGAGCTAAGAACTCTTCAGCTGCACACTCTAACGCTGGGGAGCAGGTACCAGGCCCCCAATTGTGTTCTATGTCCCCTGAAGGTTAGGAACCTGCTATGCCAGAGGGGCCCAGGTGTTCCCAATCCTCTAGCAACAACACTCTGATGGGGGGTTTGTCAGGTTAGTGGCAGCAGGATCCATACTCACTTGCATGTACCAGCAGCAATGGTGACTCAGCAAGGTATGCATGTGTCATCTGGGCAGACCACCAAAGAGGATGGGGTGGTGACATCTGTGTGCATGCTTGCAATGGTGGTGGCGACACAGCAAGGTGTCTACATGTTGGTGAGAGTGGGGCACCAATGGGGGTAAGGCACCAGTATTCGTGCACACATTCTAACACTTGCAGTGGTGGTACAGTGGGTTGTGTGCACAAATGCACACCAGTTGGGGAGGGTAGGTGAGATCCACCCATGTGTGCTTGCTGGTAATGTGGTGGAGAAGGGCCAAGGGCAAATGCACACCAGTAAAGTGGCAGGTGGAGGCTGTGGTAGGAGGAGGCTGTAGGTGGGTGGGTGTGCATTAGTAGGGGCTAGTCTGCTGGAGCTCTCTGATGGTTAGTTGCAGTATGCCGGCAAAGGAACTATGATGATGGCCCTGGAAGCACCCTGGTTGGGCATCTGAGGCTACATTGCAAGTGGTTGCAGCCAGGCTGGGCCCCCAAGAGAGGCCAGCAGACAGGGAGGCTCTCAGACTGGACTGGCCCTATCCCACAGGCAAGACTACTCCGCATCTGTCCAGGTCTGACAGTTGCCAAAGACCAAAACCACCTAGAGAAGCGTGGCAAGCTTTAGAGAACAGGTGCTCTGGCCATGCTCCACTGCAGCCATTCCCACACCAAATCCTCTGGACTCCACATAGGCTGGAGTCCTACTCCTGCCACCTCTCCAAGCAGCCCTCCTTGTCAGCTCAGGTGTCCATGGGTTTTGTGAGGGTCTCTTGCAGCAAGGTTTCTGGACATCCATGGTGAGAGTCTATCATTTCTCACCTGTTTAATTCACCCATTCCATGTGAGCTGCCAGGGGCCAGAAATAAGTCACAGTGCTTGACAACCTCATGTAGGGTTCTTAGCTTCCACCCCCTTAAGCCCATGGTCTGTGTCCTCCCTCCGTCCCCTCTCATTGCCTTTCCTATATTGTTCTACTTGGCGTGTGCCATTCTTTCTGATGTCTTCGTCTCTCAGTGGGAGTTGTTCCCACTGCTTCTAGTCAGCCATCTTGCCTTCAAACTCTAAGCATACTTAAAAAAAATTCATCATATGTTTGTTCCTACAAGAACATAATATTCATAAGGGCGAAATCACTATTGTCTTCCCCATATCATAGTGCTCCCCATGCTCATTATGTGTGTGTGTGTGTGTGTACACGATTATTTAAAAAATTATGTCTACTCTCATTAAGATGTACTCTCAGTACAAATAGCACATGTGTATATAATGAATACCTGGCATATAATATGCAGTACATAAGTACTTACTGAAAGAAAGAAAGGAAGTGTTATGCATTATTTGTATTTACAGCATGTAGCCCAGACTCTATATCAAAATAGGATCTCAATCTTTTTTTTTTTTTTTGCTATTAGCTAACTATGCAACATTTTAGCAACTACTTTGCTCTAGTAGTAACTTATTTCAATGACCTCTAAATTTAGGAAATTGGTTAGATAAAAACTCAGGTCTTTTTGATATCAATAATTATGTGTTTTTGTACATAATTTAGTCAAAGTAGTCAAAAAGTATATAAATTGGTTTTAATGAAACAATCTGCAGGGGAATATGGATGAGAGTAAATATGGAAAAATCCTTGAAAAATTAGAGTCTGGATTAATTAAATTACATGTAACAGTATAATTTGGGGAGTTAGACTGGATTGATAAAATTTTTCAAGTAATCATGTTTAATTTTCAATTATGTAGTAACTTATAATTTAACTGACAAGGATACAGAAGTTTTGAAAGTCATGGGCCTACAGTTACAGTTACATGATCATGGCAAGCAGAGGAAGCAAATATACTATGTTCCGTGAGCTAGTAACAAAGAACCAGTAAAAAAAGAAACATTCTTGGAAACCCTTGCTCAGTTACAACTTAGCTCTTTGGCCCCATTTAGTAGGAAGATAGCTGTGATAGATTGTATTTTCCACAAAATGACTGTATTCTCCAACTCATATATACTTTGAGAATCTTTCTACCATCTCATCAAGCAGAATCTTTCATGAATCTGAGTGGTCCATTGTGACTGCCTCCACTAAAAGGGCAAGACACTGTGTGACTTCTGAGGTTAGATCATAATAAAAGATACAGCAGAAGTTGAGTCCTTTTGGACTAACGGTGAATAATAACTGTTCTAAACGTATTATGTCGGCAAAAGTACAGGTCTAGTAAAATCACTAATTAGAAATTTCAGAAAAATGGTTATGGATATGGAGACCAAAATATTTGATAAATAAGTCAGTGCAGATACTGGTATTTACCAAATTACATTGTGAATATATGTGTGTATGTATATGTATATATATATATAGTCAATTTAAGTATTAGTACTAGAAAATAAGAAATGAATATACATTTCTGCTCTAAATTTAGATAGCATAAAAGACAAAACTTATTAATAGGGATTTTATACTCATAGAAACAAATAAAAATATTAACACTTAAATATTTTAAATAAGTAGGTTCAAAAACCACGGTAATATTTTTTAAGTTTTCTATCTCTAAATTTTAATTACTGTTTATATATTGTGCATAAGTTAACTAATAAAACAGTTCAAAATGTTTCTCACTTTTATGCCTTTTTTTACAAATAGAAACATATTCATCCTTGAAAAACAATTTACGTAAAAAATACACTCAAAAATATCATATCTGATCTTCATTTTTTTCTATATTACTACATAAAAGAAACAACTATTTCTTTAAGTAGGATCTTAATTTCTCAGTGTTTAAACTGTGAAAGTTGTATTGAAGATGGGAGGAAAATAGTAACCTTGATACTACTCAAAAGTTGAGTAATGCTGAAGTATTTGTAAAGAAGTATAGGGCTTCCTAAGAGGTCCATAACATAAACATAGATGCAAAACATACTACACTCATATTTTGTGTTTATCAATTTTAAAGAAACATAGTCTTTAATATTTAATGGAGATCACATTTTAAAATTATATAATAGTACCTGCTTTGGAAAAAGCAGAGTGAGAAAAGTTCAATTGTTTTTCAGGCGCTATGTCATCTGTTAGATTACGTGCTATTTTCCTTCCTTTTTTTACTGAGTGATATTTTTTCTTTCTAGACTCATTGTTACAATTGGTAGACTGTACTTGTTTTTGGGGTAAAAGGATGAATGTTCTCAAAGTTCTAGTTTGGATGAGTACATTTTAACCCAGATTTGCCCACTCTGATACTTTAGGAAAATACCAACTGTAGTCAATTCTCATCATTCAAAGTAGTTGTATTCTATAAAGTTGCCACAAAACCTCAGTTGGCGTATATTGAACTATTGTTCCTGTGGGAAATACAGGGTTAGGTCCCCAGTAATTTCTTGTCACAGCATTTTTCTTAAGCACTCAATACATAATCTTGTTTCATGTTAATCTCTCTTAATATATAGTTGATTCGTTAACATTGAACTCATCATTGTGTTATCACCAAGATAGCAAAATAGGAGGTCTAAAGCTTCACACCCCCCCCAAAAAATAATCAACTAGCAATCTGGCATAAACAGAGACACATCAGCCGATGGAAGGAAATAAGGAGTCCAGATATGAGCCCTCATAGCTATGATCAATTGATTTTGGGCAAAGGTGCCAGGAATATAGAATGGAAAACAGTCTCTTTAATAAATCGTATTGGGAAAACTAAATATCCACATTTAAAAGCATGAAATTAGTCCCTTATCTCACATCACATACAGAAATTAACTCAAAACAGTTTAGAGACTTAAACATAAGACTGGAAACTATAAAACTATTAGGAGAAAATATAGCGAAAAAACATACAACATTGGTCTTTCTAAGTTTGATCACAAAGGCGCAAGAAACCAAAGTAAGAAATAGAAAATTGGTTTACATCAAAATAGAAAGCTTCTGCACAGGAAAGAACATGATTAACAGACTGAAGAGACAATCTATGCATTTGAAAAAAAATATTTATAAGCCATACATGTGATTAATATTCAAAATATATAAGGACTCAACTCTATGGGAAAAAATCAAATAATCTGATTAAGAAGTAGGTAAGAAACCTGAATAAATATTTTTTTCAATAAAAAGATATATGAATGAATATTCGATATATGAAAAAATGTTCAACTTTACTAATCATTAGGGAAATGCAAATGAAAGCCACAATGAGATGTCACCTCACACCTGTTAGAATAACTATTATCAAAAATACATAAGATAACAAGTGTTGGTGATGATGTAGAGAAAAGGGAATGCTTGTATACTGTTGGTGGGAATGTAAATTAGTACACCATTATGAAAAACAGTATGAAGATTTCTCTGAAAATCTATAAACAGAATCACCATATAATTCAGAAATCCTACTCCTGGGTGTTTACTCAAAATATTTGAAATTTCTATGTCAAAGAGATGTCTGCACTCCCATGTTAATTGCAGCACTATTTACAATAGTCAAATTATGGAATCAAAAGTAGTGTGGATCAACAGGTAAAAGGATAAAAAATGTGTTACACATATACATTGGAATACAATTTAGCTGTAAATAAGAATGAAATTCCATCATTTATGTCCACAACATGAACAGAATTGGAGAATGTTACACTAAGTGAAACAAGCTAAACACAGAAAGACAAATATTACATGTTCTCACTTATATATGAAACCTAAAACACCTGAACTCCTAGAAGCAGAGTAGAACTCTGGTTAACAGAGGCTGGGGGTTGGGAGCAATGGGGAGATGATAAACAAAAAGCACAAAGCCTCAGTTAGATTGGAAGAATAAGTTTGTTTCTTTTTTTAAACAAAATCTATTACATAGCATGATAGATATAGATAATAATTGAGTATCGTACATTCCAAAATCACTGAGATTAAGTTTAAAATCTTCTCATCACAAAAATGTTAAATATTTGAGGTGATGGATATGGTTGTTTTTTTTTTTTTTTTTTTTTTTGAGACGCAGTCTCACTCTGTCGCCCAGGCTGGAGTGCAGTGGCGCAATCTCAGCTCACGGCAAGCTCAGCCTGAGGTGATGGATAGGTTAATTAGCCTTATTTGATTTATTCCAAATTGTATTCAAAAACCATAATATCACTTTGTACCCCATAAATATATGCATCAATAATTTGTCAATATATAATTTAAAATTTGAACTCATAATCAATAGCACTATAATTCATGTCTAAACAAATCTTACTGAAAAGTGTTTTTCTCCATAAGGCATCTCACAGCCTTCTTGTGCTTAGGGATGCTAGACAGTACTTCAGCTGTTTGCTTGGAGGCCATTTTAAACAATGACATCACTAACAAAAAGCACAAAAATGCAAAAGCAAGGTACTAAATACACTAAAAAAGGACAGGTTTCAGTATGAGAGCTGGAACAAGAAGACGGAGAATCGCCTTATGTGATATTAGCTGGGAACATGCATGTCCGGTGATTAAAAATTTTTGCCACTTTGTGCATGTCCTAAAGTGACCACAAAAGCACCATGAGTGTGATCTGGGGACCCCACAGAAATGTTAGTAAGCATGGGAATTTGTAATTACAGAATCTGTGAAAAATGTGGATCCACTCTACTGGTTTTACTTATTTTCCCTGGGGAAAAAAAAATGATGTTTCCTTGGAAATTGAAATATTTGGTTCATTCAATTGCTCTCTTTTCTGTTCCAACTTGATTTTTATGTGTCTGTGTGCTTTGTGGTGATTTAGCCTAGGGAGAAAATGTTTAAATGAGATTGTAATGAGAAGTCTGTTTCTTACTTTTATCGAGGGTAAGAAGGGTACCTCATGAGAAAGCACAACATAATTTCTCTAAATCACCACCAAACATCTATCTCCCATAGAGCCTTGGAGCCCGAGAAGTTTTCCTATGTAGTCATCGCAATGTCAGTGTTACATAGGAATTACCACATCAATAATGATATGAAGTCAAGAAAAGAATCTTTTTGGCAATTATGTAAACTTGAAATAAAAACGACATTAACCAAATCTGTCTTTGGACAATTGGCTTACATGTTTCATACCCCTGATTCTAATTATTAAAAAAGCTTCATATACTCAAGTGATATCCTTAGGGTTTAATGAGATGATGCACTTTAAATCATATCTAATGCCTGCCACAGAGTAGGCAGTAATTAATGTTATACATTCTCCTATACAATACTTAAGTATGATATCTATCAAAAGGCATAATACAGAAAAAACTCTTTTACCACAAAATAAAGTACACATTGCTGAAGGTTAAAATCTTTAAAAACGATTTAAATCTCTCGAGTAAAATTTAAAAGAAAGAAAGAAAAATCTTACTGTTTATCACTCGTTTTTCCAAATGCAGTGGTTTGATGAGTGAACTCTATGATCATGAGGGAAGTACAGAATACCTGCTTAATACCTTCTGAAATACATCAAGAAATATACCAGCTTTTTACCATAAAATGAAATCAAGATAAAGGGTTATTGCTTGAAAAAATGTAAAAGTTTTAGCAAACTTCAACTCAACTTGGCACAATATTCTGTAAAAGCACTATAAAAAGAAACTTGTCGAAGGACTCCGTTGGCAGGTGTGGCAAAACAACTTTCTGAAAGTGAGAAAGTATGTCCTCGGGCAAACCATCATGACATGGAAAATTTCAAAAGCATCAAACACAACAGGAACATTTTTCACTTTCTTGAGTCACTTTATTCGAACTACCTGAGCTCGTCAAGGAGCGCTTTTTGGAGTTAACGCGTGTCGCCATGCCTAAAGCCGTTTAAAGGCAAGCCAGAAAGACAGGCACAAAATCAACAACGGCAACAACAAGAAAGAAAAAAACCCAAGGGAAAAGGCGGCATTTTTTTCCTTTTATCTATTAATTACTAAACAACTATGACATACACAGAAAGATATTTTTTCCATTGGAGGTCTTATGGAGAGTCTTTCTGAGAACACGAGATTTTTCCTGATAATAATCAATATTTGAAATGAGCATTTTCCAAGACCTCATTGTAAGTATTATAATACAGAAAAATATGAACAGAGAATAATTAGCAATTGAATGATTAAATAAAAAGAGTTTTCTTGCCTAATCTTTCAAAAGGAAGTGAAACTGGCATTTACAATAATTCTAGTCTAATATAATTTACTCATTTGGAAGAGGCATCAGGAAAGTTTAAGAGATTTTCAGATATAAAGTATGGTACCTTAACAGCAATGAAAGAAACAATGCAACCGTTTTAGTAAGAAATAACAATTTTGTGGGTAGTATACATATATATTTAATTACATGAAATGCAAAAAAAAATGCCAGAAACATTTGTTGTTATCGTTTTGGAAAAAAGAGTTATTAAATTAGAAGCAAGAGGGTTATGTTAACTGATCCTTTATCACTGCAAACATCCATCTTCCCTGAAAAAAATGAGAATTGAAAGTAAATGGTTTGATTAGTTAAGTCAATGCAAACACCGTCTTCACTATTTTGTACGGTTCAGATCAGAGAAATGATGGGGAAATAAGGGGTATTTGGGGACAGCTATAACAACTCCATATATGAAAAATTGAAAAAAATGTGATAGAAGTAAAACAAAGCCAGCATAACAGAGTCTGTGGATACCCTTTTATTCTTTTTAAATCCAAGGTAATAAATTTAAGGAATAATCAAATATGAACTAATTTAAATATTTATATTGTAGAAGACATTAAACAACCAAGACAGCAATGATTCTATTTTAATCTCAAATTGGGGTGTTTCCTCTTAACCTGCTTTAGCTTTTCAATGCAACATGGAAAGATTACTTCCAACTCCTGTTCAGCTTTTTAAAGTGCACCTGAAAAATGAAGTTTCCTATACATTTTCTTGGTTCTTTCTTTTCAAGTTTTACCTTTTCAAGAATCTGTGTTGGACATCACTGCGTTTATGTCAGGTAGCTTGTGGCTATAGCAAAATAGAAATTGCTGATGGAATTGCTGACCTGAGTTAAATTTGTGTTCACTGAGCCTCGGAGAGCCACATTGGCACACATACTGGGTTTTCATATCAGTCTGTTTTCGATATGCTTTACTGAGCCTTTTTGTTTATTTGCTATCCTCTGTCTGACTTACTCTGAACTATGTTTCACTCAGATGATAGAAGGTATTTTGGAGCTAAGCAGCGATTTCAGTAAAACTGAAATGGTTTCTGTCCTTGGTGCACTTTTCGAAGCTGGGCTAATAACTCACATTGTAAAGTTCCTCCATTTGGTGCCACTTTAGTCCCTTGGATCTAGTCAAGAAAGTCAGGCTAAGTGCTTGTATTAAAATAAATGCTCTGTCGTTTCCCCAATTCCCTTCTGAACCATAGCTATTTGAAGGGACTTCTCAATAGGAGAAATGCACAAAAATCAGAATCCAAGCAGAGACATGTCTTTCTGATTCTGTAAAGAGGCAGTTCCCACATTAGAAAATGTGACTGACCCAAAGCTGCGTCCTCTGCTTAACCCTAAGGGTGTCTCTGCCACCAAAAGTATTGTATGTAGGAATTGAAATAAACTTACCTACTAGACTAGTGAGAAATGGTTTTAATGTTTCCTTTTAAGGTACCCTAAAATGGCAAACAATGCGGGATTTTCTGAGGAAGAAAGTAAATGAAAATTTTAAAATCACTAGATTGAATTCCTACCTTTTTAAAATCAAAATATTTCATATTTGAACATTCTTGAGGTGTTTGTTATTAAAGCTGATGCAAATTTTAAAACTGGTAAGCAGGTAAATGTGGATATTTAGGGACCTGGAGGAATAGTCAATATTTTAAAATTATATCTTATCCTGTGTGTATTATAATTTAAAGAATATAGGATGCCAGTATCAAAATGTATAATAAACAGTGTTCACATGTTACTGAAAAAACCTTTGACTAATACTTTAAAAAACAGTTTAAATCGAATACAGTTTTAACCATGTTTTCCCAATATAATATTGGGCTAATAATTCATTTTCAGGAGCTTAAGTTTATCTTTCTGTGAAATAAAGACAATATATTTTAATATTCTTCCAACTAAAGTCCTTTAGAGACAAAATTAAAGTGATTTAATGTCAATGTACTTTTAAATTATAGATATATAAAGATTCATATAAAAGATGAAATTGGAGACTTCTCTCTCTCTCTTTCTCTTTCTCTCATGCTGTCTCTGTCTTCCCTCTTTGGTTTCTTCCTTCATAATGATGCTAATGTAGCATAAGGCCCCATAGAGTAAGCTGGACTATTGCATTAAAAATGCATTTTGGCACTTAAGTGATATGTAAATAAAATAACATAATTTTTACTAATGATGCCACTGAAAAACAAGTTTTTATGCTATGTAATAACGTTCAAATTTTGGTTAGAATAAGAATGTTACACAGTTACCTAAGGATGTGCGTACTTAATTTAAAAAATTGTTTTCAAAATATAAAGTAAATAATTTGCCAACTTAGATTTAAGACAGTCAGAACATTTGGTATCAAATTAAACTCTTGAATTCTGCCTAGTCATAAATGCATTAAAGGATTGATTCCCAAAATTAAAGCTAATCTATAAAAAGACACATAATTAAGGTAATTAATTTTATAACAAAGTGCTCTCTCTATAAAGTAGACTTTAATTTCATTCTCTCAGGAGAAAGCAAGGAAGTCACTTGAGAATTCATTTTAGAGGCCTGTGTTTGCTATTTGGGAAATAATTAAAACTTACGTTCTAGGATTCTTGTTTAAACTATTAGCTTTCATTTTTTCACATTTTATTCTTAACACTGATTTTTGTCCTTGTTTTATCTTGGCTAAAGAGAATGTAAGACATGTGTAAAGTTACCATAATGTCTGAAAAAGAGGACAGGGACATCCATTTAAGCATGAAAAATATGTATCAATATACAATATTAATGTCTTTAAATTCAAATTGTAAAATGTAACTTTCAACTAACCTGCTATAGACTGGATGTTTGTGCTACTCCAAAATTCAAATATAGAATCCCTAATCCCCAGTGTGATGATACATGGAAGCGCCACCATTGGGAGGTAATTGGTTTAGATGAGATCATGAGAGAGGAGCCCGCATGATGAAGTCAGTGTCTTTAAGAGAAGAGCAAGTGACCAGAGCTGTTTCTCTGTCTCTGTCTCTCTCTTTCTCTCTCTGTCTCTCTCTCTATCTGTCTCTCTCTCCTTCCCTCTCTCTCTCTCTCTCGGCCATGTGAAGACACAGCAAAGAAGACAGTTATCAGCAAGGCAGGAAGAGAGACTTCATTAGGAACAAAATCAGCTGGTACTTTGAACCTGGACTCCAGAAATATCAGAAATAAATTTCTGTTATTTAAGACATCCAGTGTATAGTATTTGGTTATAGCAGCCCAAGGTAACTAAGACATAACCTAACACTCTTTTTTTTTTTATGAGAACTGCTTTGTTTTAGAATTCAGGGCAGGAAATAATTAAATCTTTTCCTGCTTATCAATGAAAAAAATAAGTGGCAGGGGTCAGATGTCACTTAAAATTGCAGATACATACCCAGTTTTAATTTGATCTTTCCTAAAATTCCAATAATGTAAGATAAAGGAGATATTAAGATGGTGGGTTGAGGGAGAGGGGGCAAAATTCACAAGGTCAAAAAGACAAGAGAAAAAGGTATCATAAACAAAATCCTGGAAGCTGGTGATAAATGCACAAATGGTAATTCATTTATCAGATTGGAAAAACCTGAGATTTAAGCTGGCAGGGAAAAAGTCTGCATTGCAGTACCCTAGTAATTCACAGGAATTTCTGCCACCGATAATCTTGAAAATGTGGACATATGTGGAATTAAAACTTCCTTGCTTGATGCATCTAGGTTGGCGTTTTATTCTCTGGAAAATTTGAACAGCAGGTGTCCTATTGAAGGCACTAAACACTGCTGATGGCAGTAATCCAGGCTGAAAACAGAGAAATTAGTAAAGAGTTACACACTGAAAGTTGAGGGGGCCAAGCATTTGTGTGCTCAGCTCCTTCTAATACTAGACACCCAAGTCTTCATCCACAGGAAGGTCAATGGAGGAATTCTCTTTAGGGAATTAATCAGAGATAATGAATCACAGCTATTTTTAGTCAATGTCCAGGGAGATTAGTCTTTAGAAGTGTTCCCATCTAACCTTTGTCTGTGCTCACACAGAGTCTCTGGGCAATTTTAGAGTTCTTCATTTGCAACTACGGGCAGAGAACCAGAAATCACTGGCCAATTGAAAAAAGCCTCTAAGATGAAAGAATAATAACACAACGAAAGAACGCTGAGGAAACAGATGATGTATGAAGCAGAAAAAAAGCTTAAAAATACTTAATATCCTCAAAAGGGAGGGATATTAAAGGCTCTGTAGAGTAAAACATTCAGCAAACACTTAAAGATGCCTTTGAAAGTGAAACGTGATCTGTGTAATGAAAAAAGTGAAGATAATGGTTGGCATATAAAGTTGAGAATATATGGCAGACTAGAGAACAAAACTGCAAAGCAATTGAAAAGAGGAGAGATGAGACAAGAAAATTAGGGAACAGGTGCAGGAGTTATATCATGTCATGAATAAGAAATCCAGAAAGAGAGAGTAGAGAACATGATAGACAAGGCTTTTTCAAGGAATTTAGTTTTATTACTGCAATTCAAAGACATTTGTTTTTGAATAAAATTGCCCACCACTAAGCATCAAGCAAATGAATAAACAAAGAAAAACCTACACTAATGGAAAACGTGACAACATTAAAACAAAACTCTAAACTCATCCGAGTTTTGGGAGAAATCTCTAAGGTCAGAGTAGGGATAAAAGAAGCAGGTTGTAGTACTTCCTACCAATACTAAAAGTAAAGAAATAGTGAAGCATATTCTTCAAAATTTCTATGGACAATTATTTTCAGTCTATAAAGAGGCAATCTATCAATCTAATTCACTGACTCATTTATTCAATTAGCCAAGTATTTTTGAAAATCATTCATGCCTCAGGCATTCTTCTAAGTACTAAAATGGCGATAGATTCTAAAATAGAGGAAATGAAAAACCCCACTTTGATGTAGCTTATATTCTAATAATGGAGACAAAATAAACAAGAAACATTAAGTAAAAATACCAAATTTTAGATCTTAATAAGTGCCAAAGTAGACCAAAGAGACCGGTTGCACTGGCTTACACCTGTAATTCCAGCACTATGGGAGGCCAGGAGTTGAATTCAGGAGTTCAAGACCAGCCTGGGCAACACAGTAAGACCACATCTCAAAAAAAAACAAGAAGAAAAGTAGGCCAAAGAAATATAAATTACGTATGTGGTAGAGGGGACTTGACAGTTTAGATAGGATGTCTGAAAGAGGCTTCCCAGAGAGTGCGTTTCTGAGTTAAACAATGAAGTGGGTAATCTAGTAATAGAGTGTTTGGAATAAGAGCATTCCAAGGAGACATACAAAAAGCAACAACCTTGGAGTTGTAACACATTTAGCATATTCAAGGTAGAGTCAGAAGCCAGTGTGCTGGAAACAACTGAATGAAAGAGAGAGGATAAAGAAGAAATCAGGATACTAAGAAGAGGAGAGCAGGTAATGTTCCACACTGAAGATCACAGAAAAGACTTCAAGTAAATTCTAAGTGAAGTGGACAGCCAGAAGGAATGTTTTAAGAATTTTTAGACAGAATTTGACGTCATTACTATGGCAAGGACAAAATCACGAGGATCAGGTAAGAGGCTATGCCAATGATTCAGGCAAGAAAAAAGGTGTCATGCTCAAGTGGTGGAAATGTGGGTGAAGGGGAATGGGTCAATCCTCGCTATGTAAAATTAAGGTTTTCAGAATTTACTTATAAACTGAATGTAGACTCTGAAAACAAGAAACTGGTCAAGAATGATGCCAAGATTTTTAGCCTGAATAACTAAAATAATAGAGTTGTCCTTTAGTGAAATGGAAAGCTCAAGAGAGTCGAAGAAAAGTAAGATAGTAGCTAAAGGAAAAAATTAGATCAGAATAATTATATATTATGTTACATATGATATATAATATGTGTAATTATATATTATAATTTAATATATATTTCATATATACACATATGCACACATATATACATGCATTTATGCACACACATAATTTTGGAAGTAGTTGAATAATCCTATTTATCTTCATGAATTAGCGAAACTTTAGTAGTAGATAGCATTGCAATTTATAAAGGCTCTGCTGAATGTAACATACTATGAAACATGATTCTGTGCAGAAAATTCAACAAGCTAAACTAGATAATTATATATATATAATATAGAACTAATGATTTAAATATAATAGGATTAAATCATACTATATTAAATATAACCAAATTCTACCCACTGATTTTTCCAACCTATTTTCAAAAATTTTTCTAAGAAACATGCTATTAAAATCATTTTAATCTGAATGTATATCAGAAAACCAAAACACAAAGCAAGGTTTGTACATTTATAAAGTATATCTCTATTACTACAAAGTTTTTTTGATAGCTTAAGAAGATATTTTTTATCACTTTTTAATGTATTTTTGAACTCTTTTGCTATAACCATTAGCCATAAAAATTACAGCATCTTACTTAAATGCAAAATGGTAGTAATAGGTTTAAGACAGGCAAAACATCAAATAGCTAAGGAAAAAACTTCCTTATCACAGTCAATTCTGGACTTTGGCATCTAAGTAAAAGTAGAGACATCACCCCTCCCTAATAAGTAGTAGAAGTGTTTAAAACATTTTTAAAAATTATCTTACAGCCTGTCTGCTCTTCAACTAGGCTGAGGTAAACAATGAAAGGCAGATTGCAGAAACGATGACACACCCTACAACATGGTGGCTGCCAATCGTAGGTTAAGTGGAAGCTAGCTTTTCTTTATCCCCACCTGGGTGATGGGAACAATTTTGAGCAATATGGAGAGTCATCTGGTTCCTCTGACCTACATTCAGGACCTTCATTAAGGCCATGTTCTCAATGGGACACAAATTCTGAAAAATTCTGCAGAACTGTGGAAAACAATAGTTGCACTTCTGAATTTTTGCTCCTTGTGGAACAGAACTTGTGAGAATATGTACTGAAGTTTTCCTGGAGAATTCATAATCACAATTCCTCATTTATGTTAAGTATGAAAGCCAAAATTCATACTTCCTATATGACCTGAGATATCCTAGTTCAAAAAGTTATAAATAGTTTAAACTCTTAATTTGTTAGAGCACAGACACCAGGCAGAAGCAGGCAAACACCCTCCATTCACTTTCACACACAAACACAACTGTTAAATGATTTTTTAAACCATCATTACAAGAAAAATAGTATTCATTATTAAAAATTACAAAATACCTGAGGAAAAAATCCATCATTAATGATTACCCACTCTGTTAGAAAATCAATGCAACATTAAAATATTGGAAGAATATCAGAAATGGAATCTATATTATATTTTTGTTATATATATTAAGATTTAAGGATATGTCAAATTAAAGCAAATCGGGGCTTAAAGAGAAATCTTATTTGAAAAACTATTTCAGTAAGGGAAGGAAGACTCGTGTCATAATGAGGCATTTATAGCCTCAGCCAGAAATGTCTCAGGGAATGGGTGGGTGTGGGCTGAGCTTATATGAGCTGAGACTTTGAAAAGATGGTTGTGGAAAGAGTAAAGGAGATGCTGAGGACTATCTAGGGGGCTCCTTGAAACATAAAAAAAAAACATGTTAAATATGGAATCACAGAAAAGAGTGTGATTAGGCACAGGGGACTGAAGCCTATGTGTGAGATGGACCAAACAAATTATAATGTGGCAAGTTCACATAAATTCCAAGGCTCGACTGTCCTACTCAAGCTAGCCTAAAATTATGTCCAGCACAAAGTTTAATCATGCTAGTCAGAGGAGTTTAAAACTTTGGTGAAATATAAAAGATTATCAAATTTAATGTGTAAGTTTAGAAAGAATTAGAATGTACTTCCATAAATGAATGAGGCATTTAAGAATGTTTAAAGAGCAGACTAGACACTTTTGAAAAGAGTGTTAACTAGAAAATAGAGCATTAGAAACAAACAAACAAAAAGCAAAAATATATTAAAACGGTAAGGGCCATGGTGAATGAAGTGTGAAATTTTAACATATATTTAACTGGTATTCTATAATGTAAAAATAAAGAGAATGGTTGAAACATAAAATGTGAAAAGATACTACCTTAGAATTTGACTCAAATGGTGAACAGGATAAATCCTAATATCCAGAAAGTACAAAAGGAAGCAGAATAAAAATATCAACTCCTAGATATATCTCTATATCGGCTGAACAGCTAATACAACTAGCAGGTCATATAAGAAAGAAATAACAGATTATGAGGAAGGAAATACCAATTAGGTTAACAGGTAATTAAAAACAACAACAAAAGCCAGAAATGCTTAATAAATAATCCATTAGAAAAAAACCATATTCAATCTGTTGTTTATTAGCTGTCTGAATAAAAACAAAGGTAGAGGAAAGATATTTTCAAATTAAATGAAAATCTAAGTTTGCTACCAATAAATACTCATTTAAAATATGTCTAAATATATGATTCACAAATAAGAAAAATACTTTCAAATAATTTCTGAGATGTAGTAAATATTCAAGAAAATGAAAATTATAGGTGTGTCTAAGTAATTATTAGATATATAAAAATGATAGTAAATATCTAAATAACAGGGTTAATCAAAATAGACTTAAAAAAATAAAATAAAATAGCCTTAAAATGCTAGATAATAATAGTATACATTTAGTAAAGTGCTAACTGTAAAATAAAATATGCATCAAATTTAGGCTTTTAAATATATGCATATTCAATTTCTGGAGGAATCATTAAAAGAGTAGAATGTAAAAACTCAAAATTATGAATAAATAAACTAGCAAAGAATGAACTTTTTGATCCATCTAACCGATGGTAAGAAAGTAAAAGTAATAATGTCATGACAGTTTCATCACCAAAATTTAGCTGATAAATAGTGGAGGGAGGTTGCTATTGAAAACAACTGATTCACTGGGCAAAAAACACTAAGCTTTTAAAGTTACAGGAACAAGGATTGCACTTAGCCAAGTACTGAGTCCCAAAGGAAATAAAAACTTGCTGTTAGTGGATCTGCAGTTGTCCTTTTCAGTTCTCTTTTGTGCTCAGATAGTATTATGAGGTCATACATCATCACACTTAACAAGTGACTTTATACCATGTGGATAGTCTTTGAAATTGTTTATGTTCACAAGATAACACTCTCTCTTCTCCATTAGGGTAAGGCCAATTCTCAGTTAAAAAGTCAGATGCTGTTTGTTTCTTTGCTTGTTTGTTTGTTTTGTCCCGTTATGTTTTCTTGTTTTTTTCTTTTTACTTACAATTTAAACTGAGATTAGCTCCTCTTGAGGCTTGTTATGTGGCTCTACAATGAAAACAGATGCATAGGAAGATCTTGAAAATCAGAAAACATAAACTTCATAGACTTGCAAATCAATATAAATGTACTAAATTCTTGAGATAAAAGATAAATATGCCAGGTGAATTCAAAATGTAAGTTTTTCATTGCTTATAGCAAAGCTACTAAAATTATAAGAACACATAGAGTCAAATAACAATAAGTAAAAAAAAATTATACCAAGAAAATACTGATACTAACCAAAGAACGCTGGAAAATAAATGATAAAAAATAGATGTTGATATAAAAGCATTATTAGAGATACTGTGAGTCATTAGTTTCATAAAAGAACTTTCATCTTAACAGAAATATATAGTAACAGCAAATTTGTAGATTTTAATAACTTTGTTTCAAAATATACAAATAAACTATCCAGAAACACGGATTTCCCAAATATCATTTCCTCCAATCTTCAAGACGCTTCTTCATCTAAAAACACCAGTTTTTGATGCTATTCTTAATGCATGGACTAATTAACATAAATTTCAACTAAAAGCAGGTTTCTAACATAACTAAAAATGAAATGTTGACAGTGGGAGGCAAAACATTTGGTAAAATTATTATCTGTAATAACTAGGTACACATACCACATGTCTGCTAAACTAGAAGCTCTGGGGGAAGTGGTAAAACTGAACCTTAGTGGCCAGAAGTAGTGGCTCATGCCTGTAATCCCAGCTCTTTGGGAGGATGAGGCAGGTGGACACGAGGTCAGGAGTTCGAGGCCAGCCTGACCAACGTGGTGAAACTCCTTCTCTACTAAAAATACAAACAATTAGTCGGGTGTGATGGAGCATGCCTGTAATTCCAGCTTCTTGGGAGGCTGAGGCAGGAGAATCGCTTGAACCCAGGAAGCAGAGGTTACAGTGAGCCGAGATCATGCTATTGCACTCCAGCCTGGGCAACAGAGTAAGACTCCATCTCAAAAACAAAAAACTGAAACTTAATGTGATGAATTGGTTGTGTTGATTGCTTTTGGCCAATTACAGAAAAGTAATAATTCAGCCAATTTTCGAGGAGAAATAAAAAGAAATTGGTCTTTTGTAACACTATGTTCTGAGACTATAAGTTAACCTGATAAGTGATTTAGAGGCTAATTTAAATGATTTAGAAATAGGAACGCTTTTACCCTGTTGGTGGGAGTGCAAATTAGTTCAACCATTGTGGAAGACAGTGTGGCAATTCCTCAAGCATCTAGAACCAGAAATATCATTTGACCCAGCAATCCCATTACTGGGCACATACCCAAAGGATTATACATCATTCTGCCATAAAGACACATGCACACATATGTTTATTGCAGCACTGTTCACAATAACAAAGACTTGGAACCAACCCAAATGCCCATCAGTGATAGACTGGATAAAGAAAATGTGGCACATAGACAACATGGAATACTATGCAGCTGTAAAAAAAGAATGAGTTCATGTCCTTTGCAGGGACATAGATGAAGCTGGAAACCATTATTCTCAGCAAACTAACACAAGAATAGAAAACCAAACACCACATGTTCTCACTCATAAGTGGGAGTTAAACAGTGAGAACACATGGACACAGGGAGGGGAACATCACATGCTGGGGCCTGTCAGGGTGGGGGGGTGGGTTGGGGGAGGGATGGCATTAGGAGAAATACCTAATGTAGATTATAGGTTGATGGGTGCAGCAAACCACCATGGCACGTGTATACCTATGTAACAAACCTGCACGTTCTGCACGTGTATTCCAGAACTTAAAGTATAATATTAATAATAATAGTAATAATAAAGAGCCAATGTGAAATGGTGTATGTTCTGTTAAATGTTTGGACTATTTAAAGTGAGAATAATAAAAAATTTGACCAGAAATTTATTAAATTTGTGAGCTCCTAAAAGAAGTAGAACTTTTGGGTAAGAAACACTAAAGCCTAAAGCGACTGAATGACCCTTAACTCTTTCTAATCTTGGAAAGCTCTTTCGCTAAAACTAATCTCTATGAGCAATTTTGTTGGATTTCTTTAAATTTTAATTTATGTGGGTACATATTAGGTGTGTATATTTATAGGGTACATGAGGTGTTTTGATACAGGCATGCAATGGATAATAATCACATCTTATAAAATGGGGTATTTTTTTTGGATTTTTAACAGACAAATGCAAGAGAGATTTACATCAGATTTTAATTATTTGTCATTTAACATTTTGAACTTTAACCTGTTTTGGTTTGGGACATTTTTATCTCCATGAGGTGTTTCAATATACAGCATGACTATACGAATGACATTTTTGCAAAACTGTTGTTGTTGATGTCCTTTGGTCTTACTTGCAGAAGGTTATTACAGGCCATAGTGGACAATAATAATTTGAGGAGGGTATAATAATTCTGGGAGAATTTTCAATCTTGAGTAATATGCAATTTTGGAGTAGATTTAATTAATTCAATCTTCTGACTCATACAGAGATCTCTAGCATGAAAATCCACACTGTCTACCATAAGATTCTGTTTCTTTGTTTATTACCCCATCAATTTCTCCAACTTATATGAAGTAATTAACTACCATGTTGGGAGAAGGGATAATAGCCCTTGACTCAAACCTTTCTAAAAACAGCTAATTCAGAAACACAGCTGGGCATAGGAAATTCAATCAATTATTTTCTCCTTCCTCCAACTAAATCAAAAGAAAACATTGAATTGTATTTTTTTTGCAGACTCTGCATTTCCTATTAATGGGGTATCCTGTGTAGACTGTTAGTATGATTAGGGAGATCTCAGGCTCATTTGACATTTATCAAACTGTGTCTTCTGGTCTAGCTTTACCAGTCATAGAAATGATCTCTTGGTGTTTTATCTGAAGAATATGCTATTTTACTTCTCAATTTATTCATAACTTGAATAAGGAAGAGGAAAATTATTTAATGGCTTGTTAGATAAAGACATATAATGTGAGCTTTAGGTAATCATTTAAATCTTGTATCTTGAGACATAATCTTTAGGCTGGTAGTCCTGATTTATGTTTTACTTGCCATTTGCTCTCTTCTGTGCTCTAACTGCATTTCTATAAGTATTTATGGGACACGATCTACACAGATGTCTCATTAGCAGCTCAACCTTAATACTTTTAAAATTAAATTCATTCTTTAATGTTTATCATCCTCTATTCCCTGTCTTGCTCATAATCTTCAAACATCTAATCAGAGGTTATGAAGACATTGAGATCTATTTGAGCTAGGGCTATTACAAGCATTTTCTGTCATAGACCTAACAGCTATTAGAATTTCAAAGACATGCAAATTCACAATCCAAGTATGATAGGCTGATGTAAAATTATTTAGTAATGAATAAATTTGAGGAGGTTTTCTTGTCACTGAACACCTTCCTCTACCCTTTCTTATTAGAATGAGTACCAAGCAAAAGAGGAGTCTATTATTTCATTTGAGATGTACTTCAAAACCTCATCTTAAGAAGCTAACATTGTTGGTAGGGAATGATGTTAAGGGCCAAATGCAGGAGTTTCAAAGGGAGCAGAGTTGTGGAGGATGAGGTGAATGATACAGACACTTTATATTGAGTAGAGAAGTGGAAAAAGCAAAAATATACTCTTTATCACATGAAAAAGTCTAGATTTAGCAGAGACATGTATGTACCCTATGTTATTGCCTTACAATGGCCTAACATGTGAATGATCAAAATATCTTCAATTAAGTAATAAGAGTGAAATATTCGGGGTCATAACTTCCCTTCCACTTCAAAGAAATGTAAATGGAATTTTTATTTCTATAACATACCAATATTTGACTTAGTTCCTCAAAAGAATAAGACCTCTACCAGCTATCCAATCTAAAATGCTGAGTTGTGTGTATGCAGAGAACCATAGGTAGAAGGTTCTCCAATTTACTTGAGAACCTCTCTGGTGAAGAAAGCTAGATAATATTCTTCTTCAAGTGCCTTTCATTTATCTTTCCTAAATGTATATTTCTCATTTCCTAGAATTAATGTTACTCTCTTGAAGCAGTTCTCTCATTCCAGATCTCACAGTAGACTCAGTGTTAAAGGTTAGCATTGTTAGAACTTGATCTACTCTCAACAAATTCTTTTTTTTTTTTTCCTTTGGCATCCAAAAGGCCATTTAGGTTTCAAGTTTCCTCTGTTTTCCACAAAAGTCCAAATAAATTAATGATAATGCCAACTAGCTCTGAAGATTTGTCTTCATTATACTACAATTAAATAAACATGCTTGAAAAGCAAATTTGGACCAGTATTTTTCTGATGAGCATATATTTTGTGGTAACCAATAATCTGAGTTAGGTAAATAATTATGGCAAAAATATACATCTCTCACAGAAGCTGCATGAAGGGTCTACCTCTGTCACACTGGTGTTACAAGTTGAGCATTTCAAATCTAAAAATCCCAAATCTGAAATGCTCCAAAATTTAAAACGTTTTATGCACTGATATAATGCCCAAAGGAAATGCTTATTGGCGTATTTCAGATTTTAGATTTTCAAAAATGGGATGCTCAGCCAGCCTGGTGTAATGCAAATATTCAAAAATCTGAAAAAATCAGAAATCTGAAACACTTTTTGGTTCAAGTGTTTTGGATAAGTGATACTAAATCTGTAATATATTCTGGGCCAATTTAAATTTGAGGATGCCACCTTCTATATCTTCTCTATGTCTCTCGATTTTTAATGACATTGCTAGAAGGTCAGGACTGCCTGTACAGTTAAAGTCACATCTTTGCTGGAACACTTCAAAACATCCAGACAAAAAAAAAAAAAAAATACAATCTTTTTTTCTGAGGTTTTTTCAGGAAAGGGGCAGAAATGTATGGAACTGATTAGCAGATTTGAAGCTCCTTGGTGAAATAATATAAGTTTTCTATAACAATTCATTGGAAATTTTCTTGTGAGCATTATATATTTATATTCCAGTTCTGATCATCAATGCTACTAAAACCATCAACCAAATATTCATGTAATGAACTAATAATAGTGACTAGACACTCTTCTTTCATTTATTGACAGAGTTAGCTAAATACATAATGGAATTATTTAGGTTTGTTGTTGGTTTTCAATTTGAACATTTAATTAATCTTTGAATAATATACAAAAGAAAAAGAAGGACCCAAATTCCATCCCACTGCCATCTGGCTTGAGAGGATAAATGTCACATGGAATTGGCATACTCTTGCTTAAGATAAATTTCTACCCTTTTGTAAATTCTAAACCATGTTGTCTTCATGAGCACAGAGGGAAGAATGATCTTCAAAATGTATTTTTAGAAGAGAAAATGCCAGACTAGATAAATCACCAGTGTTATACCAAATGACATAGTCTATCTTCCCAAGTAACAGGGTAATAGGTGAAATTTTAATGCTCTCACTGAGGGAAATGAGCAAATGCTACGTAGCCAGCTTAAAGTGTTTATTATTCTAGAAGGATGAGTCATAATATTAATGGAACAAAACTCACATAAAGGTGATTTTTACAATTATTTGATATGCCCAAAGGTGTATTTTATTTATATCTTTTGAAATATTTTATATTATAATTCAGAATATGTTGTTAAATTATGTAATTATATGTTTAGAATTTCATCCAAATATTTTTGTGTGTGATTCTGTAATACTATAGCCTAAGTATGGAAGTATAATAAAAATGTTAAATCAGTAAATATCTACCTTTTTGTTAATATGTATTTTTATTTCCAATATGAATCTATATTTTTATCAATGTATTTTATAGAGAAGATTGCATAACTCTTTCAAAAACTGGATTTAAAAGAATATTTAATGGATTAAAAAGTACAATCCACTGATAGTAGAATAATTACAACAATATAAGGATTTATGTACATATATATACACAGAAAAGAAAATCACATATAACACAGGTTTACAGAAGTCTCTTGCTATCTCTTATCACTCAGAGGTAAACACTGTTTAAGTATAATGTATACTTTAATATGTTTATATAATATAGGTAAATAATATCTATACAATATATTCACATATGCACACAGTATAAATATATGTATACAAAAATTATAACATACTGTATTTTTTCTCAACAGTTAGCATATCTTGAATTTCTTTTTTCTTATTAGTATCTCTAGAATGTTTTCATTATTTTTACTGGTCTTAAAATTTCATTTATTATTTCACCATCATTTGTTAAGCAGGGAATTACATATAATTAATATTATTTTCTTGATATGTAGCCATTTACATATTTAGATGTAGAAGGTAAAAAGTAAAGATCGCCAAAGGTTTGTGAAATGTAGCACAAAGTGAACGCATGAAATGATGGAGATTGGGCTAGGTTATTGCCCTAGTTGTAGTGTTCATTGCCTTCGAAGAAAAACAAAGAAGGAGTCAAGCTATTATTTTATTATTCTTTTATTGGCTAAAATATAGCTGTCAGACATAAAACTTTCCACAATAGGCACTTTGGTTTCAGGTAGTTTAAAACTCTGTATCGTCAATAAACAAAAGTACTTTTTTTGACAAGAGAGAAAATATAGGGGAGAGGAGATAATGGATAAAAGAGTCAGAAAGAAGATAAATAGTTATGCTTACAATGAGGATTGAACTTTAAAAGTCCTAAGGACTAAGAACACATCACACTGATATTTTTGATCATTTTCTCAGGATCTTCTACCATACTTTTTCTTCTAGGTTGTCTCCAAACAGCCATAATTTCTGTCTAATTCAGTCCTATTGTCAGCATCCCCATCACTTTCCTTTCTTCATTTATCCTTTGATTCCAAAAAGAATATTGAAAGTCCCTGCTAGACTCTCAGTAGCATTTCAGAGTGTTCAATATCTTCCCCAATATTACATTTTTGTTTGTAAGAAAAATGGAAAATGGTAACATCAAATAAAGAATTGCAGTTTTCTTGCTAATTCTTCATTGAAAATGAACAGAGTTACATCTTTCACTTGCACATTTAGTCAATAATTATACTGGCTTAGAGGAAAGAGTATTGGAATTTTGAGTGTATTTATACACAGAAATTTGTGTTCATCTATTCTTCAATGGGAAGTGTCCAACGCATTCACAGGGTGGGTTCTTAGCATAGACATTGCTGATGCTTGCTCTGTATTTCTGACGATGGCTTGTGGAAAAAGGGATGGGTGACTGACCTGAGCTAAGACAATCAGATTCTGTATTCTAGCAACTTGGAAATTAGGTAGATGAACAATAAGTGAGTTTCTGCATGTGACTGAAACTCTGTTGGTTTTTAGCAAATTGTTCCTTCCTTCCAAAGAAAATGTACTTGTAATAAATCACAATTTTAGTTAGCTCCAAATGGGGTAAACAAACAAGCAAACAAAGACAGAAAAGAAAAAGAAAGCAAAATAGTGTTACAGACAACAAAACTCAGCATTCTGACATCTGATTCACGGCAAAATGCTAGTTACCTCCCACCTTACACATCATTCTCTCACACATTCACAAACACACAGAATTCATTACTAATTCCTTTCTTATAGGAGGCCTTAAACATCCCTGGGCCAAAGAAATTATCAAAATGAGAAACATATTATGCAGCCAGGTGGGCAGTCCAGGGGATTCAAATAATTGGTCTGGATACTTGATGTCATCATGCACATTGTTATCCATGTAAAACAGGAAATATTAGGTCTTGCATCACTGACCAATCTACTATATATTTTTTTCTCTACATACTTTTTATTCTGAACAGAAGCTAAATTTAGGGTATTGTTTAATGATTATTTTCTGATTATTGGGAGTGGTCCATATTCAGCAGAATAAAAATGTCATACTTGTATAAAAATTAGAATACACCAATGGAAATCTGGAATTCACCTTAGCATAACAGACAGAGAAGAGTGGCTTCATATTATGGCCCATGAATGTAATAGCTTGATCAGATTTTGTGTTCCCTCCCGAAAGAGGAAGGAATGCTCCTGACATTTGACTTGCGATAGTGATATTTTGATAAAATATTTTATTATTGGAATTGCATATTTGGGAAATAAGAACGTGTACACTGAGCAATAAAGAGATGTAATATCATGAAAACTTAGTCCTATTTTCTGGGAACGGTGCTGTCCACATAGGGAAGTGTTTCTTCAGCATCACTCTTCATACTGCATGCCTTTCAGGCCTTTATTATCTGAAGACTGAAAGACTGAATGAGAAATGCATCTGATCTAATGCTGAGACAGTCGAATTTGGGAATTTGAAATGCGATTTACCAGAGAGCAACTTGGGCTTAGCACATGGTAAGTAGGAACTAAAATACACGCATTAAGGAAGGTAAGGATGTTTACCCAAGGAATCCAAAGACAGAAAAAACTATCCAAATAAGGGAAAACTTTAAGCAAATTGCCATCAAAATTTTAGTGAGAAATGTAGCTTTTGTATCTATCTATCTGTCTATATGGAGATAAATACTTACGTATGAGCCTCTAACTATCTATCATCTATCTATGTATCTATGTATCTATGTATCTATGTATCTATGTATCTATGTATCTATGTATCTATGTATCTATCTATCTATCTATCTATCTATCTATCTATCTATCTATCTATCTATCTATGTATCTAATCTATCTTCTTGGTAGCTCTGTGTGTTAGGCTATTCTTGTGATGCTATAAAGAAATACCTGAGATTGAGTAATTTATAAAGAAAAGAGGTTTAGTTGGATTGTTGTTCTGCAGGCTTTACAGGAAGCACAGTGCTGGAATCTACTCGGATGCCTAAGGAAACTTACAATCATGGTGGAAGGCAAAGAGGGATTAGGCATATCACATGGAGAGACCAGGAGAAAATGGTGTGGGAGAAGTGTCACACACTTTAAACAACCAGATGTCATGACTAACTCACTCACTGTCTCAAGGACAGCACAAAGGAGATGGTGCTAAACCATTCATAATTCACCCCCGTGAGACAATCACTTTCTAACAGGACCCATCTCCAACACTGGACATTACATTTTAACGTGGGATTTGGAGGGGACATCCAAACTAGATCACTCTGTAATTCCTGGGCCTGGTCTATTTAATATCTCTGGTTCTATTATTATTCATGACTCCCAGTATAACAGTAAGTGATTTTTTTTTCTAAAGCTGCCTTATATTATTTTCTCATTTTCCAAATGAGCAATTCACAACGAATTTTCTCTGGTTTCCTCAATTGTGATATAGGTATAATAATAACTAGTATATACTTTTTTTTTACAACACAGAAGATAACATGTAAAAACACCTCACAATTTATAACAGTTTGTGTTTATAATGCAATTTATTTTAGTTTATGTAACAACTGATTAAACATTTAAAAATCATATAGTAAGTTTTGAGTTATACATCTTACCATGACATATATATTTACTAACATATATTTACTAACATATAAATAAATATTGGATTAATTTGAGAGGACCAGTAAGTGTGGCATAATAAAAACCTAACCATAAATATGACTATGATTACAACTTATTTTAGAAAATGAAAAAAGGAAAACTAAAAGGTAGGAAATACTCTGGTTAGGAGACCAGTATCTGGCATATGATCTTCTTTTTAATTATTTTTTTTTAAGTTAAAATTTGGTGACATTGAGCATGTAGGTCATTTACTTTTTTTAAGGTTCCATTTTTTTTATCTGTAGAATATGGGTAAGAGTTGAATCTACCTCATAGGACACAAGTTTAAGTGAGAATATATATAAAAAGCCTTTAACCAGTTTCTTAGTGAAGTCCTCAATAACTGCATTCAGAATAGAAATATGTGACATTCCCGTTACACTTGATATCATCATGATGCATCCTAGCTTTGAGACCATCTGCCACAAGATCATGACACACAGCAACATAGATTAGGTAGTGTCTTTTTGCCAAGTAAGCAGTTCTATAATCATTTACTCAGCAACTAGCATGAGTCAGACCCAGCCATTATGAAGCACTGGTATTTCATATATAAGTCAAATTGTTGATCCCCACCTGGCTCAGTTGGTTAAGAAAGACAGTTAAATAACAAACTAACAACAAAATATGTATTTTTCCCTTCCCTGTGTTGAATATAGCTCTCATATTCTATTGTTGTATGTATATCCAAGCTCTTATCAGATTGTATTATTTTTCTTTTCCCTCTTTCCCTGATCTCTATATTTGTGAGACCAGGAACCATATACTTTTTCCTTATAGTCTCAAATACTTGGCCATCATGTAATATAGAGGAATTTAAAAAATGAAATCAAATAATTTATATAAGTAAACAAAAATAATTTAAATAATTATATGTATATCAATCAAATAAAGTCAGAAGATATAAACATATCAAAGTTACAATATATTAAAACAATGAAAAGCAGTAAATCTCAAAGAGTTTTTCTGCTAATAAATTCTCAACTATAACTTATAACACGAATCTAGTAACTTTTCTATTTTAATACAAGAAAAAATATATTTAAAACTTTCCCTTAATAAAATAACTTCAACAAATTTATCTTTCTTCCTTTAGAGTACCATCTTTAAAATAATCTCTGTGGTCATTTACTGACCAGAGTGAGTTGCCTCTGTTAGGTTTTTATGCTTCATCAGAGAAATGGACCCAGAATGCTTTTCTCTACTATATCTATGAAGATCAATGACCTTTCCTTAGCAGCTCTTAGCTGATTTACACAGAGCAGAAAGAAACAAAAATCCTCCTTCTGACTGTAGAACTTAAGTGAGCAAGTGTTTGAGCTCCAAAGATAGGTCAAACACTGCTGTGACCTGAGATTATCAAGATAAAATACTTCAGTCTCTGTCTGTGGAGGGAAAAATCTAATGTCTATTATCTCCTAGAGGAATTAATAAACAAAAAAATAACAAATAATTTTTAAAAACCACCCCATGAGGCCAGGCATGGTGGCTCATGCCTTTAATCCCAGCACTTTGGGAGGCTGAGGTGGGTGGATCACCTGAGGTCAGGGGTTCGAGACCAGCCTGGCCAACACAGTGAAACATAGTGAAACATTCTCTACTAAAAATACAAAAAATTAGCTGGGTGTGGTGGCACGCCCCTGTAATCCCAGCTACTCAGGAGGCTGTGGCAGGAGAATCACTTGAACCTGGGAGGCAGAGGTTGCAGTGAACCGAGATCATGCCATTGCACTCCAGACTGGGGGACAAGAGTGAAATTCTGTCTCAAAAAAAAAAAAAAAAAAAAAAAAAGCACAACAAAACACCTGATGAAAGAACATGTGTATTCTGAGTTATCTTCTTACAGCTGCTTCTGTAATAAAAGAATCATCACACCCCTACAGAATTCCACTTGCATGCCCATCCCTAAAAGGTTGTTATGTGCAGCCATCAATTTATATATTTTGCTTAACATTAAATATCAATTATGTTTGGAGTCATTTTTCATATAATTATTGTTACGTGAGATGATTTAGTTCTAATTCCTCCCTACAAAATCCTATTTAGTCCATAATATCCCTGATGTATTTTATTGTTCTCATAAAAACATAAATCCAAATAATTTTACCCATCAACAATTTTTCAAGTAAGTGTGTTCAAAGCCTATATTGGGACTCTTCAAATATATGTGTTCTCAATTCAATGGTAACATTTAAGATCATGGACTTTCATACAGAACTGTTAGCTTATGTATACATTCTAGGTTGATGAAAGAGACTGGGAACATAGTGGACAAACAGGGACTTGAAATAAAAAGAAATGGAATCTCTTATGGGGTGTATGGCAAAGATAGAAAACTAATGGAACACTTAAGGTCTCTGCACCTTTATACAGAGTAGAATTGTTGTTGAGCAGCTGCTACCTATTTCCATTCATGTGAGACCAGCTCTGGTGAATAGAAATGTAAAGTTAAAGTGATGTGGGTTGCAGTGTTCCTTCCTCATACTCTTTCACCTCTCCTCGAGGCATTAAAGCCCACATGTTAGAGATGATGATATCATAAGTTGGAAGAAGCCTGGATTCCTGAATCACTCCTTGGAGGCCAGCCATGAGCTGCCCAATCGAGTACAAGTGAAATTAACTCTTTGTAAGAGAGAAATAAACTTTTATTTCATTAAGCCACTGGGATTTTTCACATGTTTGTTGTAAATCCTGCTTTAGTTGCCCTAACTAAGGTAATGGTAAAGGAGAAGATATGATTTTACTCAATTGACAGGCAGGGACTAGAAGTAATGAGAATCTTACTTTGTTTTGCTCTGCTTTTTATTTCTCTTTTTACACATTACACCACGTGTGTCCAATCTTTTGGCTTCCCTGGGTCACACTGGAAGAATAATTGACTTGGGCCACATACAAAATACACTAACACTAATGATAGCTGATGAGCCAAAAATAAAAATAAAATCGCAAAAAAAACACTTCATAATGTTTTAAGAAACTTTATGAGCTTATGTTGGGCCAAATCCAAAGCCATCCAGGGCCTTGTGCTTTACACTGTTTTTATGTTTTGCCCTTATTACCGCCTTTAAAACTTGATGCTCAAGAGAGCTGGATAGAATGGGAGTATAGAACAGGATGGTTGTAAAAGGACAAGAAAAGAGAAGATAAAAGAATAATCCCTTATTTTCACCTTTCCTCATCTTTCTAATATTTAGTATGGGAAGCAAGAGTAAGAAGGAATGAGGGAGAAGGCCTGTGTTTCGTGTGATGAAAAATAGCAATAAAATAGGTTTTTCCCCCATTTCTTTCTCCTTTCATATTTGGCTCTACAGTTACAGACCAGAATTAAAACTGCAATTTTAAATGTGTCCAGAGAAGAATCAAGCAACATCAGGGTTTTCCTATGGCTCTCATTTTTAGTGGGTGAGAAAACACTGCTACAGAGTATTGCAGTATTAAAGGCATGCAAGTACTAATAAAGGCATACTCACAGGTACTGTTCATGATGACTGCTTATCCTAACACTGGGAAGTCTTCAATATTTTCTTAAAATTGGAAGGGCTTCAAGATAGCTGACTAGAGGCATATGGTACTTCCCTCCTCCTCAAAGAACCAACAGAATGAGTAGATAATTACACTCTAAATAGGTCATCTAAGAAAGAACACTGGAATTCACCAGAAAAGTGACAGGAAACACCTAGGGCAAATAAGAAGAGAGAGTCAGAATAGCCTACTAAACTGGGATTGGCTAGTATCCCAGATAAGCTCCCTGGTTTGGGAAAAAGGTAAGCAAGAGACCCCCAGCAATCCTCATACCTCTGAGGGACTCCTGTGGTCCTACCCATGGGAGAGCCTCTTACCCTTGCATACCCTGAAATTAACATAAAGAGCTTCCTGGAGACAGCATGACAGCTCTGTTCCAGAGAGGGAGCTCAAGATGAGTCCCACACACCCCTTGAGTCCTAAGCAGCTGTAGCAAGGCACCATTTTTGAGAGACCAGCCCCCCTCAGACTGCGTCCCACCCTGGAGCCCAACACTGCCTGCATCTTTGCATCCCTGGAGCCCTATCGATAAATTCCACTGGCAGCCACTGCTGTTGTTGGCTGCTGCCACCAGGGCCAAAGCGCAAGCCATTAGCAGTAACTCCACCACCCCCAGCAGTGGGGCTGCAGCTCATCCTCTGCCATTGCCACCAGAGCATTCCACCAGGTGCCTGGGAATCAACTCACCCCTACCTACAACAGCCCACACCTGCATGTACCACCAGGGGGCTTGAGGACAGACAGGCCTGCCAAAACCAGCTTCACTCCTTACCCTTCCCTACTGCCCGAAAAAGTGCCTGGGTGCCTCGGGCTCACACAGCCCCATCCACTAATGTTGGCACCAAAGCACTCTTCCTGGGAGCCTGAGGTTGGGCCAACTCAATCTGCCACAACCAGCATAGTTGTGCATGCCACTTGCAGACCTGGGGACTGTCCCACCTACCCCACCACTGTCACTGTCAACACCAGCATGAACTGCTTGGGAGTCAGAAGTGTGTCTCACCACTGCTACTGCTGTTACTTATGCCATACCTGTTGCTGAGAGTCCTGAATACCTGTCCACCTGCCCAGCCCACCACTGCCACTCTCAGCACCTGAGCAAGCTTCATGAAGGCCCATGAATTGGCTCACCTGGACCTGCTAACCCTGGTGCCAGCTATACTTAAATCATGTAAAATACTTTAAGTCAAAAACAGTAAAAAGGAACAAACAAGGTCATTATATAATGATAAAGAGATAAATTTAGCAAGAGGATATAACAATTTTAAACATGTGTGCACCCAAAACTGCGGTATCAGATAATACAAAACAAATATTATTAGATCTAAAGAGAGAGATAGACTGCAATATATTAATAGTTTGGGACGTTAACACCTTACTTTCAGCTTCAGACAGATCATCTAGACAGAAAATTAACAAAGAAATGTAGGATCCAAATATCAAATAGCACCTTAGGTAAAGTGGACCTAACAGACAGCTACCGAACATTTCATTCAGCAAGTACACATTCTTCTCATAAGCACATGGAATATTTTCCAGAAGAGACCATATGTTAGGACACGAAACAAACCTCGACAAATTTTAAAAATCTGAAATCATATCACGTATCTTCTCTGACCACAATATAATAAAACGAGAGATCAATAACAAGAACTGTGGAAACAGTACAAATACATGGGAAATACTCAACATACTCCTGACAACCATTGTGTCATGAAATAAATTAAGGAGGACATTAAAAACAAAATTTGAAGGTTGGGTGCAGTGGCTGACCCCTGTAATCCCAGCACATTTGGAGGCAGACGGGTGTGGATTGCTTGAGCCCATGAGTTCAAGACCAGCCTGGGCAACATGGCAAAATCCTGTCCTACAAAAATACAAAAATTAGCCAGGCATGGCAGCACATGCCTGTAGCCCCAGTTACTTGGGAGGCTGAGGCAGGAGGATTGCTTGAGCTTTGGAGGTGAGGTTGCAGTGAGCTGAGATCATATCATTGAACTCGAGCCTGGGTGACAGAGCAAGACTGTCAAACAAACAAAAAAAGAAATTAAAACAAACAAAATCAAAACAAAACATATGAAAAACCTATGAAATTCAGCAAAAGCAGACCTAAGAGGGAAGTTTATAGCAATAAACACCTACATCAAAAAATATTCCAAATAAAAAATCTATTGATATACCTGAAGGAACTGAAAAAGCAAGAACAAACCAAATCCAAAATGAGTAGAAGAAATATAAAGATCAGAGAAGAACTAAACAAAATAGAGACTAAAAAAATACAAAGAATTCATTAAGTGAAAAGTTGGTTTTCTGAAAAGATTAAAAAATAAATTATGAATTCCTAGCTAGACTAACCCAGTAAAAAAGACAGAAAAACCAAGTTACAATCAGAAATGAAAAAGGAGACATTACAACTGATACCAAAGAAATACAAAAGATTATCAGAACAACTATAAGCTAGCAAACTGGAAAACCTAGAGAAAATAGATAAACTGGTGGACACCTACCAAGATTGAATCAGGAAGACATAGAAAACTTGAACAGACCAGGCCAAGTGTGGTGGCTCACTCCTGTAATCCCAGCACTTTGGGAGACCGAGGCGGGTGGATCATATAAGGTCGGGAGTTCGAGACCGGCCTGACCAACATGGTGAAACCCCATCTCTACTAAAAATACAAAAATTAGCTGGGAGTGGTGGCACATGCCTGTAATCTCAGCTACTCGGGAGGCTGAGGCAGGAGAATTGCTAGAACCCGGGAGGCGGAGATTCCAGTGAGATTGTGCCATTGCACTCCAGCCTGGGCAACAAGAACGAAACTCCATTTCAAAAAAAAAAAAAAAGAAAAGAAAAGAAAGGAAAACCTGAACAGACCAATAACAAGTCATGAGATTACCTGACTTCAAAATATATTACAAGGTTACAGCAATGAAAAAGAATGGTATTCGTATAAAAACAGACAAAAACCAGTGGAACAGAATAGGGAACCCAGAAATAAATCCATCAATCTACAACCAATCAATTTTCAACGAAGGTGCCAAGACTATACATTGGGGAAAGGGCAAGCTCTTCTATAAATGATACTGGGAAAATTGGATAATCATCTTCAGGAGAATGAAACTGGACCCCTATCTCTTGCCTTATACAAAAGTTAATTCAAGATTAATGAAAGACTTATATGTAACACTCAAAGCTATAAAACTACTAGAAAAAAAACACAGGGGAAATGCCTTCAGACCTTGGTCTAGGTAAAAGTTTTATGGCTAAGTCCTTAAAAGCCCAGGAAACAAAAACAAAAATAAACAAATCAGACTTCATTAAATTAAAAATCTTCTACACAGCAAAGGGAACAATGAACAGAGTAAAGAGACAACTTGTTGAATGAGAGGAAATACTTGCAAACTATTCATCCAACAAGGCACTAATATCAGGAATATAGAAGGAGCTCAAACAACTCAGCAGTAAAAACACAAATAATCCCACTAAAAAGTAGGCAAAGGACATGAATAGACATTTCTCAAAAAAAGTCATATAAATGACTTACAGGTACATTCAAAGATGCTCAACATTACTGATCACCAGGGGAATAGGAATTAAAACCACACTGAGATATCATTTTACCCAAGATAATAATAGAATGACTATTATTAAAAAGACAAAAAGTAACAGATCCTGGCAAGGATGTGGAGAAAAGGGAACTCTTATACACTGTTGCTGAGAATGTAAATTTATACAGCCACTGTGGAAAACAGTATAGAAATTTCTCCAAAAAAAAAAATGAAAAATAGAACTACCATACTATCCAGCAGTTCTCCCACTGTGTATCTATCAAAAGGACAGAAAATCAGTAGATCAAATGAATACCTGTACTCTCATGTTTATTGCCCCCCAATGTTTATTGCAGCAGTGTTCACAATAGCAAAGAGATGGAATCAAACTAAGCATCCATCATTGGACAAACGGATAAAGAAAATGTGCTTTATACGCACAATGGAATACTATTTGGCCTTAGAAAAGAATAAAATCCTGTTATTCTCAGAAACCTGGATGTAACTGTAGGTCGTTATGTTAAGTGAAAAAAGTCAGGCACAGAAAGACAAATATCACATGTTCTTATTCATATGTGAAAGCTAAAAATGTTAATCTCATAGATGTAAAACGTAGAATGATAGGTACCAGAGGCTGGGAAGTGTGTGTGGGTAGACAGGGTGTGGAGGTTGGATAAAGAAGGGTTGGTTAATGTGTACAAACATAAAGTTAGATTAAAATAACAAGTTCTAATGTTAGATAGCGGAGTAGGGTGAGTGTAGTCAACAACAGTGTATTGTATATTAATAGGTACATTCTTGTTTATCTGTTCTTGTACCTATTACTTATTAGTAGGATGAACAGATGAACAAGAATGTACCTATTAATATACAATACACTCTATTACCTTGTACAATTAACAGGTACAAATTAATAGCTACCAGAACGGATGAACAAGAATGAAAGATCTGTATGCCTTATATAAAAAGTAACAAAAGGGCTCACACCTGTAATCCCAGCACTTTGGGAGGCTGAGGTGGGTGGATCACGAGGTCAGGAGTTCAAGATGAGCCTGGCCAAGATGGTGAAACCCTGTCTCTACTAAAAATACAAAAAAATTAGCCAGGCATGGGGGCGGGTGCCTGTAATCCCAGCTACTCGGGAGGCTGAGGCAGAGAATTGCTCTAACCCAGGAGGCAGAGGCTGCAGTGAGCCAAGATTGCACCATTGCACTCCAGCCTGGGCAACAGAGCAAGACTACGTCTCAAAAAAAAAAATAATAATAAAAGTAACAAAATAACTAGAAAAGAAATTTTCCAAAATGTTGACATAATAAATATTCAAAGTGATTTATACCCTAAATACCTAGAATCATTACAAATTCTATGCATGTAAAAAAATCACATGTACTCAAAAAATATGTAAAACTATTATTTATCAATAAAAAAGTTTAAACTTTTAAATGATTCAAACCCTTTATATTTAATTTAATAATGTGTTGAATGTAAATACAGTTGACCCTTGAACAACTTGGGGGTTAGGGGAGTGAAATATACTGTCTTCTTACAATAAAGTCAGCTAGAGAAAAGTTATTAAAAATCATAATCAAAATATATTTACTATTCATTTATTGGAACTGAATCATCACAAAGGTCTTCATCCTCATCATATTTGTGTTGAGTAGGCTGAGGAAGAGAGGAAGAGGAAGGTTGGACTTTCCATTTCAGAGATGGAAGAGGTCAAGGAAAATCTGCATGTAAGTGGACCCACACAATTCAAACCTTTGTTATTCAAGCATCAACTGTACTTTACTTAATCTAAGGTGAAGAGGATTGAGTTAATCAAAACTAGTTCTCTCCCTAATGTGTGAGTTTGTGTGTGTGTGTGTGTGTGTGGGTGTGTTTTGAGCCAAGGTCTCATTCTGTCACCCAGGTTGGAGCACAGTGGTACGATTATAGTTCACTGTAGCCTCAACCTTCTAGGCTCAAACAATCTCCTGCCTCAACTTCCCAAGTGGCTGCGACTACAGGTATGTGCCACCACACCTGACTAATTTAGTTTCCTTTTTTTCTTTTTCTTGTAGAGACAGTGTCTCAGTATGTAGGTTGCTCAGGTTGGTCTCCAACTCTTGGGCTCAATCGGTCCTCCCACCTTGGCCTCCCAAAGGGTTGGCATTATAAGCATTGTGAGCCACTGCACCCAGCCCCTAAAATATGTTATTTTAAAATTTTTTCCATTTGTATGAGTTTCTTTTGGGATTGTAGAAGATTCTATTGGGTAGTATGGTAGATTTTTCCAGAGTCCAAAAAGCATAATTAATATCAACATTTAATATTTATGATAGACTTAAAGTGACACGCTGTGCCACTTCAAATAGAAGTTCTCAAGGATTATTTCTAGAAAACATTAGAATACTGGGCCAAATATGCTACCAAATTAAGATCAGGTTATGACAGTGTCTCAAAATTCGCAAACATACAAACATGGAATACACATATATGTATATATGAATGAGTTTGGACAGCCATAAAATATACCACGGACTGTGTCGCTTAAACAACAGAAACTTATTTTCTCATCGTTTGGGAGTCTGAAAATTTTAAGATCAAGATCAAGATTCCACCAGGATTCAGTTTCTGGTTGGGGCTCTTTCCTTGGCTTTCTATGGCCTTCTGGCTGTGTCTACATGGCAGACAAAAAGAGAGAGAGAGAGAAGGGAAGATGAAGATCTTTCTCTCTTACCTTTTTATAAGGCTATCAATCCTTTCAGACTAGGGACCCAAGCTTATGACCTCATTTAGCCTTCACTGCTTCCTAAAAACCCTATCTCTAAATACAAGCACTTTAGGAGTTAGGGCTTCAACATACACATTTTAGGAAGACACAGTTAAATCCATAGCAATGTATATATCACAGACACATAAAGACACACACAAGGCAGACAAATTTCTCAATTTTAAAAGTTTTAAATTAGTAAGTTTTTTTTGGCTATTCTCATCCCTGTAGATAATGTAATATCTGATGCCATTCACTAATTAAATGAATAAGTACTTATTTGAAAACCTACTATACATGAGATACTGTTTCTACAATGTAACATGTGAAGACAGACAATTAACAAGAAATAAAAATCAAAAGTAAATGACACAATATGGTAGAGGCTGAAATATACTAAAGAAAAATGTAAAGGAAGTTAATAGGTACAAGAATGGATAAGAAAGAGTGAAGGGTCTGTATGCCACGTAAAAAAAGAAACATTTGGGCAACATTTAAAGGAGGTTAGGCAATAATTAATTATACAAATAACTGAGAAAATAATATCCAAGGCAAGGGAACTGTGAGGGTAAAATGCCTAAGAGAAGTTATTTAAAGCAGCAACAGGACAGTGTGGCTAGTGAAGGTAATTAAGAAAGAGAGAAATGGAAATGGTTTAGAAGCCAGATTGCATAGAATTGCACAGGCAGTTAGCTGTAAACTCTTTATTAAACTGTAAGTGAAAATGGGAACCATTAGAGCATTTGAACAGGAGTATTCTAATTTAAGGAAAATTTTTAAAGAACTTATATTGCTGTTATATTGAGAATTGGAGGATGGATAATAAAAGTGGAATCAGAGGCCAGCTAGGTGGCTACTAAAATAATACAGGTAAGAGGCAACTGTGTTTCTGACCAGGGTGGTAGCACTGGTTAGTATTGGGCTTCTGGATATCTCTTAAAAGTAGTGGTATTAGTCTGTTCTTACACTATACAGCTATAAAGAACTACCTGAGACTGGATAATTTATGAAGAAGAGGTTTAATTGACTCACGGTTCTGCAGGCTTAACAGGAAGCATGACTGGGAAGCCTCAGGAAACTTACAATCATGGTAGAAGGTGAAGGGGGAGCAAGCACATCTTACCATGGCAGAGCAGGAGAGAGAGAGAGAGAGTGAGGTGGGAGAAGTACTACACTTTTAAATCATCAGATCTCATGAGAACTCACTCACTATTACAGGAACAGCATGGGGAAAATTCACCCCCATGATCCATTTACCTCCCACCAAGTCCTTCCCCTGCCACACAGGGATTACAATTTGTCAGGAGATTTGGGAGGCGACACAGGACTAAACCATGTCAGTAGTGTTCAAGAAAGATTTACGGTTTGTATGCAGGTACTTATGGTTTGTAGCATCAAAGGACATGGTTAATTTATATTTGTTATATTATTATCACTACATTTTGCTGCAAACAGCAACAAGACTTTTATCAAGTCCCAGACCTTGTTCTAAAATTAATAGTCTGGAATGCAAAAATGTTTCAGTGAAAGTAGGCTATAGATAGATTCAACATAGACTAGCTTGACATATTAAGTACATTTGAAATCACTGGATCTTCAGTGAAAAGTTAACTTTAGAGTAGGTAAAATGATTATTTATTCAAGTAGGTGGTCTATACATACAGCGCTATTCCTTTCTTTAGGTATCATAACAACTTAATAAAGTCTTCAAATACGTTCAGTTCTCTGTAGACAATAGTATGATAGATTCTGTTGGCCAAAGTCCCTTAAAATGATATCTATCAATGCCTACTTGTTTATGGTTTCAGGAATCTCTCTAAAGGCATAGCTGGAAAATTTTAACCTTGGATACTGTCACACTTTTGAATTCAGTCTGGGTTGAGGCTGATACTATAGTAGCTGAAGGTCTCTATTAATTAGAATCAAATCTCTTTATATGCTAGCTATTTCCAATTTATTTCTGCTCTCAGATTTCAAAGTCAACTTCTGGCTCCATATATGAGACTTCTCTTTGCATCCAAAGGGAAGTCTGCATATGTCTCAGTTTGTACGTGAACAGCCTGAGATTCAAGAGGTCACAGAAGTATAGAATTGCCATTCAGGGGTTCCTGGGAGATCAATTTCTAGTTCTGATATTTGGTTACCATTGAAGATATACAATCCTGGAGTGGCACAGTCCAATGCTGCTGGCTATTACCTGCTAACATGTGGGCTTCTAGATTCTGTTTCTAATGCATGATTGTTTATCTGGGGCATTTTCAGTATAATGCTGGTTCAATAAAATGAACTAACAGTCACCTTAACATCCTTTTTATAGATGTAAAAATGTAGGGGCAATTTTATGGGTTTTTATTTTCCAAATAAAAATTAAATACAATATGACAGCTGGATGCAGTGGCATGCATCTGTATCCCCATCTACTCAGAAGGCTGAGGTGGGATGATCGCTTGAGCCCAGGAGTTCACATTCAGCCTTGCTGACATAGCAAAACACTGTCTCATATATATATCACACACATACACACGCACAATATCAAAGCAATATCTCTGTGAGAAAATGCTTAAGAAAAAAAACTGTATTTAATCTGGAGAGCTGTTCCATGCTGACAGGCGTCTGGATGCTCTTTGCTGAGATAGACAAAGCTTTGTCCTGCCATGCAGGATATGTCTTGCATCCCAGCTGTTTATTTCTGAAAACTCAGTCCACAAAGGAAAACTGGGCTAAGAAATCTATTTTAACAAGAGTGCAGAGAATAGGGCATCTTAGTAGGTGACTCTGAAAAGTCTCTGCTTCAAACTCTAGACTATGTCCAAAGATTTTGCCCCAGTTGTTTTGTCTTACCTGCCTACAAGCAGAGAAGCTTGATATAGATCAGGACCCTTGTCAGTGTCACAGGTAACACAAATGCTATTGAGAGTACCAGAACCACAGGAAGTATTAAAAGGAATGTAGAGACCGTAGGAGTGGAGAGGGGAGAATGTGCACATTATGAGTATGTCTCTCAATTGCCCAGAGACCCTGATGTCTGAGATATTAGTTTGAAAATGAAGAACCAAAAATGGCCACATACAGGGGGACTTCACAAAGTTCATGGGAAAATGAAATTAAAAGATAAAAATATAAATATAAACTTTATTTCTCAACATAAGCTCCAGAAAGTTCAAGACACTTTGGCAAGTGATGATACCAGCCATTTAGTTCATCCCTAAAGAACGGAGGGTCCTTGGAATTTAACCATGTAAATGTAGTCTTTTTTACATTATTACCTGAAGAAAAATGGATATTCTTTAGAAATTTTTTAAGATTAAGGAAAAAAAGCAGTCAGAAGGAGGCAAATTAAGACCATAAGGTGGATACTTAATGATTTCACATTGAAACTCACACAAAATTGCCCATGTTTGGTGAGAGCATTGTTGTGGAAGAGAAGGACTCTCTGATAAAGGTTTCCCCAGGCAAAATTGTGCTAAAGTTTCAGCTAACTCTCCCTAAACACTCTCATAATAAGTGGATATTATCATTCTTTGGCACTCCAGAAAGTCAACAGGCAAAATGCATTTAGCATAACAATCAAACTGTCGCTGTTATCCCTGCTCTCAACTGGTCCACTTTTGCTTTGACTGGACTGCTTTCACCTCTTGACAGTCATTGCTTTGATTGTGTTTTATCTTCAAGATTGTAGTGGTAAAGTCATTTTTTCACCTCCTATTAGATTTTTTTTTTTTTTTGAGGCAGGGCCTTACTCTGTCATCTAGGCTGGACTGCAGTGGCACCTTTGTAGCTTACTGCAGCCTTGAAATCCTGGGATCAAGCAAGTCTCTTGCCTCAGCCTCACAAGTAGATGGGACTACTGACACATGACACCATACCTGTCTACTTAAAAAAAAAAAAAAAAAAAAAAAAAAATATATATATATATATATATATATATATAGAAATGGGGTCTTGCTATGTTGCCCAGGCTAGTCTTGAACTCCTGGCCTCAAGAGATCCTCCCACATTGGCCTCCCAAAATGCTAGGATTACAGGCATTAACCACAATGCCTGGCCCTTCTGTTACAATCGCTTAAAAAACTAAAATTGAGAAAAAGCTTCAGAATCTTGATCCCACTTGTTTAGACTTTTCATTGAAAGCTCTGCTCTCGTCTATATCTGATCTGGATGCAATGGTTTTGCCACCCCTTGAGAAAAAAGTTTGCTTAACTTTCATTTATTCAGTCAAAATTGTGTAAGCTGAATCAATGTAGATGTCCACGGTGTTGGCTATTGCTTCTACTCTTAATTGTTGATACTCTCCAATTAGTGTATATTAGTCTGTTCTCACACTACTATAAAGAACTACCTGAGACTGGGTAATTTATAAAGAAAAGAGGTTTAATTGGCTCATGGTTCTGCAGACTGTACAGGAAACTTTCAATCATGATGGGAGGGGGAAGCAGGCACATCCTACTTGGCTGGAGCAGGAGGAAGAGAGAGGGAAGGGGGACTGCTGCATACTTTTAAGCAACCAGATCTCATGAGAACTCATTATGAGGAGTACAGCGAGGGGAAAATCTATCCCTATGATCCAATCGCCTCTCACCAGGCCCCTCCTCCAACACTGGAGATTACAATTCCACATAAGATTTGGGAAGGGGCACAAATCCACACCGTGTCATAGGGCGTGAAAATTAATTTTTATGTTGCAAATTGATGTGGATGGTGTACTCTTGCAGGTTTCATCTTCAACATTTCCTTTTCCTAAAATGAGTTATCTGTTTCTCAGCTGCTGATTTATTTAGGGCCTTGTCCCCATACACTTTTTGTAAAGTGTCAGTGATTTCACCACTTGTATTAGTTTCTCTTTGCACTGCTATAAAGAACTGTCCAAGACTGGGTAATTTATAAAGAAAAGAGGTTCAATTGACTCGCGGTTCCACATGGCTGGGGAAACCTCAGGAAACTTACAATCATGGCAGAAGGTGAAGGGGATGCAAAGACTTCCTTTACATGGTGGCAGAAAAGAGAGCTAGCAAGGGCAGGAAAAACTGCCTTATAAAACCACCAAATCTCATGAGAACTCACTCACTATCATGAGAAAAGCATGGGGGAACCACCCTCATGATCAAATCTCCTCCCATTAGGTCCTGTCCTCGACACATGGGGATTGTGACCATTACAATTCAAGGTGAGATTTGGATGGGAACACAAAGCCAAACCACATCACCATTCTTTCACCCCAGCTTCACCAAAAATTTGATGTTTGGTCTTGCTTCAATTTTAACAGAATTTATGTTGCTCTGATAGTGGCTTGTTTCAAACTGATATATTTCTTAGTGCTCCACACTAGATCCTCTTCAGACATTTTTGCAAAATTTTAATGAGTTTACTTTGGTGCAGAAAAATTTTGAAATCCTTACATAGTTTTTCATAATATACATTTTCCATGAATTTTTGAAGACCCATCTTGTCTGTCTTATCTCATTATGAAGCACTGTTTTATATTTATATGAAAGGATTGTCAGCTAGTTTACCTTTTACAAGTATCTGTATCAATAAGTGAAGAAAGAGCAAAGACTTTCTGAGAAGAATGAAGGCATGGAGTGTACATACACTCTTTGAGGAGCTAGTATTTCCATTTTGAAGCAATCTTTTTCAAAAGGAAAAGTGTGGCTTGATCACCATCCTATTCTACAATCTAACTGTTGGTGCTGTAAGTTTTAGACTAAAGATTTGGCTACAGTGTGGACCAGTCTACTAAGTATATCCTTCCTCTATTTTCTCTCCAAACTCTAACATCAACATGTCACTTGGTTGTGAGCGTCTCTCACATAGATGTACTTCTACCCAACTTTAGAAGCAGGTGATATGATGTGCCCAATATAGTCTGTGAATTTTCTCCTTAAATATAACTAAACATTATTTGTTCAAGATAATGTCAGTTTTGTTATTAAGGTAGTCAGGGAGCAAATCTCTAATGTGTTTGCATGCCTTTCAAATAAAATCTAAGCTTCAAAATTGATATGATCATGTCTTTAAGATTACATTTAAAAGAAGTCCAAAAAAATTCAAAGAAACGTACAAAGGAGATACAAAACAGATTCCTGAACATTTAAAATGGGATAAAGGGTAATCAGTCTGCTAACAGAGGTTTTAAATAAACCAGGTAATTTCTAATCAATTTAAATTAGATTATTTTTTTGGTTCAATTTAAAAACAAAATTTAGTTCAGTAAAATTTAGTAATCAATGTCAAAAATGTTTTGCAATGAAGTGGAATATGAAGTTTCCTCTATAGTAATGTGATAACCGTTAATATGTCCTTCAGTCTATCAGACTTGTTTATAGTTTTATTGTTTGAAATAGAGATGATTAACATTTTGGTAGAATGAAGACGAAATCAAAATTAAGTGACAGAAGAGGCTTTTGACCTATGCTTCATAATTAGAATTTAATTTCTGTTTTATCATCAGAAATAATATCATTGTACAGAATAACATGCATTCCATTACAAACTATTGGAAAATAGTTTATGAATCTAAAAATATTTAAAAGATTTAGAAACTTTAATAGTGTAGATACAAACTATCTATCTTTATATAGGAAAATGTGAGAATACAATAAACCACATTGTGACTGAAGATTTTATGTGTGAAATAAGCAGAAAGGAACAATATGCCTGTTTGTCTTGATAATAGCATATCAGAAAAGTAGAGCCATTTTGTCATTTTAAATTCCATTTTCTTTAACTTTAATTGAGCTTCCGAATGCCGAACCAGCAAAAAATAATGTAAAACTTATATTAGCCAAAAAAATTGGCAACAAAAGTAAATCATTTGGAAACTCTATTTGGCAAACATCTTTAGGCTTTGGAATTAGTCATGACAGCTTCCATTTTTATTCCATAAATGTTTTCATGGGTAATCACCTTCTCTCTGCCTGGCAAATATAGCACTATTAAGAGAAAGAGAAATTGCTTAAGATTTTGACATGTTTATCATTCAACAATGTGTTTGTTATTTAGTTTTTTTGGAAAGTATATACAACATATTTTAATTCAACTAGCCCATCCTTATGTAACTGAAATCACTTTAAATATAGTTAGAGTTATGTATTATATACAGTTATAGTTAGTTACTTGGTTAACCTGTTAGAAAGTTATTCTAGAAATGTGTGATGTGACATCAGCATTTCTAATAATACTACTAATAAAATCAACTATTATTACTATAAAATTTTATTAAATCCTTTATGATTTCTAAAGAACTCTAAATGACAATATTATTTCTTTATCATAAATATAAATTTTCTCTCTCCCCATTAGGGTCATGGTTTTAGTAGTTACACAGATATTTATAATCCTTGGATATAATGGCAAAAATTAATCCTGTGGCTAGAAATAAGCAAGAGGTTCAGGTGAGGTGAGATGGATTCCAAATAATGAACAAGGGACAGAAACAAATATTTATGTCAGAAAATATGCGAACATCGGGGAAAAAATGAAAAGCAGTACTTAAAATAGAGAAGACAGTAAAGAAAGATAAAAGTAGAAGGGCTAGGGAGATAGGTATTTAAGCATTTGAAAGAGAAAAGGAAATGGTATTCAAGATATAAAAGAAACTGAGAAAATAATTTAACTACTTTTCCTAATATAATGCATTTATATCACCTCATTTTTTTTGTTTTTGTTTTTTGAAATCTACAGTTCATTAAGGAGCACGCAGTCACAGCTAGCTTCCTGTTTGAAGAAAAAGAAAACAGTCCCTTGTTCAAATATCATAATTCACCAAAATCTCACCATGTTTTTCATTTTTTTCTATTATAAATTTACGTTAATTGCATGCTGCTTAAATGTGGTTTTACATATTTACTCTCAGCAGCTCACTTTTAGAGCTACATATATTTTCCCACAAATGAGTCTTTCAAATCTTCAATAAATGCTCTTTCAATATTTGATATGGTGGTATATATGCGGTTGCTGTCTTATCCCAAATTAAATGTTTATTTCAGACACTTCATTTAAAGTGTTTTCATTTTCTACTCATTTTAGTTGGAAAAGCAATCATGCAGGCTCATTGAAGCTATCTCTTCTCTGGCATTATTGTTCTTGTTAGTAGTGAAGTAACCTGAAATGGCGGGGGTGGGAAATAAAGCAAAATGAGAAACGCACGCAAACAAATTGTAGCTTCCATTCTTTACAATGGATGTATTGCAAACATAAAAAAGGTTTAGCAATAATCTCTAGCTGTGCCAATTCACTTCACAAAAACATATTCATTCATTCATAACAACAAAATAATACAAAATGAATGTCACTAGGGGGAAAATCCTTTATTTAATAACCACATTGACAGCATGTGCATTTTCATTTTTTGTATATTAGAACATGGGAACAAAAAGCTTTCATTATAAATAAGGAATTTGTGGTTTATATGTGAGAAAATGGCTGGATAGCAAAAAATATTTTTCTCATTGATTACAATTGCAGACAAAATGTCACAGAGTCTGTGTACAAACTGTACCACTTCATTTATTTTCTTTCCACTGATGATTTTCAATACATTAGTATATGCCTCTATCATTTCCAATGCTCACAGCATAGGCATAATTTTATTCCTCTTTCTCATATTGAGGATAAAACCTATGATTCCTTTACCTCCTTGTTTTTCCCTTGGTATTTAGGAAGTAGATGATTCATCTACAAGGGTGTAAACCAAAAGGTCTCAATCAATTTACCAGTTTATTTTGTCAAAGTTAAAAACATGCCTACCAGAAGAAATAAACACGAAATCACAGCAACAGTCTGTGGTCTGTGCCTTTCTCCAAAGATAATTTTGAGGGCTTTGATATTTAAAGGGGAACAAGTTGCTGGCAGAGAACTAAGGAAGGTGTGGAAATCCACATGTTGGAAGAGAAAAGGAGCAGGTAGGGAAATAGTCAATTACATATTCATCTAGCACTCAACAAACTAGCACTTGACATAAGATAAGGTGAACTTAGAGTAGCTACTTGGGGACATATTTAACCTTTAAATATTTAATCTGTAGCTATCTGCTTAGGAACAAAAGGAAAGGCAGTTTCTTGCAAGACTCAGTTTTCAGCTTATTATTATTATTTGCATAGTGAATTGGGGTCCCGAGATTTTGTTTTCTTTTTACAAAGGCATAGTCACAAATTCTGAACCAGCATATTTATTTCAGCTTGAGGTAAACTGAAAAACATGTATTTAGAACTTAAGGTAAGATCTCAGAAACTCTTTAGTTGTTGGAACACCAGACTTAACAAATTAAAATAGTGTGCCCAGTTAAAATTTGAACTTGAGATAAACAACATGTATCTTTTTAGGATGTGAAAGGAAAATAAATCTCGAGACCATAAATTCACCAAGCCAGAGGGAAAAGTCAATCTGGGAACTGGGTCACACAAATCTGCCTCCCATTTGGTTCCTAAATAAGATAGCTACAAAGATAAAAAGCTACATAATTCCCTCACAATTTTCCCACAAGGAAATTCCTTGTGGTCCTAAGATATTTACCCTAAAACAGTTCTGTTGAATTTAACCCTGGCAATATAAATTTATAGCTTATCTTCACAGGTGAGGGACAAAGAACAGAACTCAAAGTCATTCCCTTGCTCACCTGAGAAAAATGCGTATCTGATTGCTCCCTCTGCCCTATTCTTTATGTTATCTTATGTAAAAATGCAGATTCCCTGAACCAGACTAAGGCATAAATAACTACACCTCTACCCACCTCTCACATGTAAATTGTGTATTTGGTAAAAGGCTGATCAAAGACACAAAAGAATGCAACAGTTTTTCTCTTATCTGCCCACACCTTTTTAACATTTATTCCTCTCTTGCCCATATCCGCCCTTTTCCCTTTAAGTATTAAAGCCCTCAAAATCATCTTCTGCAAAAGGCACAGGCCTGTCTCCTGGGCATGGGTCCTTAACTTTGGCAAATAAACCTCCTGAAATGATTGAGACTCACCTCAGTAATTTTCATTGATTTACAAGTATTTATATCCAATACCATGTTTGGAACATACATATACTAAAAAAACTAATTGTTGTTTATTTGAAATTCAAATTTCACTGAGCTTTCTCTATTTTATCTGGCTACCCTATTTGGGAAAAACATTATGCTCTCAGCTGTAGAGCTTTACTTCCTAATTTTCCCTCTGTCATTTCAGCAGTAAGAAATACTAAATTATACAGTTTCTCCTCCATTATTATGGTAAATTACTAAAGACTGAAATAAAAGAGAAAAATACTTAATTAAAATTCATTAATTTAATCATCCTATTAAATTAAAAAATATTGAACCCATTCCCTTTATGTTTACTAAGTGAATTTGACTGAAGTAATATTCATTCCCTATTCATTAATACTGTTTATTATTTTATATCAGTTAAAATTTTGTGGTGCTATTTTGTGTACTTCAAGTCACAGATTGCTTCCCCAGAATACTATGTATATTGCCTGGCATTTATTTTATAATTTGATAAGAATTTTTTTTGTTGTACATGAGTATCTGAGAAAGAATACTATTTCAACTTTTTCTCTACGTTTCCTTCAATACTCTCTGGAGTAGGATGGAAGAGGAGGACAGAGACAATGAGAGAGAGGAGGCAAGGTTCCTTCTTGGTAACTTTTCTTTTAAACTTTCTTTCAATGCACAACCTTTTTTTTTTTTTTTTAGAATATTCAAAGATTCTAATATGACCTCTATTTACATAAATCTCAAATCAAAGATTGTGCTAACCAATGTATCTTACTTCTCTCACAGGTCTAACCCCCTTAGCAACTTCGTAACAAAGTGGTATGGAATGAATATAGAAACTTTTTATTTTATTTATTTTTATTTATTTATTTATTTTTTGAGACGGAGTCTCGCTCTGTCGCCCAGGCTGCAGTGCAGTGGCGCGATCTCGGCTCACTGCAAGCTCTGCCTCCCCGGGTTCACGCCATTCTCCTGCCTCAGCCTCCTGAGTAGCTGGGACTACAGGCACCCGCCACCACGCCCGGTTAATTTTTTGTATTTTTAGTAGAGACGAGGTTTCACCGTGTTAGCCAGGATGATCTCGATCTCCTGACCTCGTGATCAAGGAGGCCTCGGCCTCCTCAAGTCCTGGGATTACAGGTGTGAGCCACCATGCCTGGTGGAATGAATATAGAAACCTTTGAGTTACAGTGGCTGACATTATCTATAGTCTTTAAAATTAACGCATGAATTTGGGGGTTAAATGGTACTTACATACTTATGTTAAAACAACCCAAAAGGTCTGCTCTCTTTGTTGCTGGCTTTTCTTTTTATCTAATATATTTTCCTATCGAATCTTAACTATCTACCTTAGTGTCTTTAAACTCCAGTAAAACCATCTTTGAAATACAGAAGATATTGAAGCACTAATATTTTGTATCAATATTTCAACTAAGATACAAAAAGTCAATATATACAAATACATATATATACACACACACACACATATATATATATTTACTTTTCACCAATTGCGTGAGTGTGAATCTCTGTATGTACATTGCTTTAAGTTAATGCTGTCTGGGAGTATGAACTTCTTCCTTTTATCCTATAGAAACAGGTTCTTCTGAACCCCACATGTGAGAAACTGTATGTCACCTTGGCTTAATGAGCTCCTTCTAGTGCTCCTTTCTTTTTTTACCAAAATTACAGCAACTCCAATGGTGGGCTTCTTCATATCTAGAGCTGGCATCAGTATTCTGTTTTGTTGTTGCAAATGCCTAGGAATGCCCTTTTATTATAAGTCACCTAGCATAAAAATCCTTGGAAATTATTGGCGCCCTGCCTATTTGACTTTTAGATATTTCCCTGGAGTGATGTAAAGAACAATAACACAAATCATAAAGATATTAATAATTATAATAGTAGAAATATGTCAAGCTTAATGGCTTAGATAATCACACCATAAAAAGGTAGAGGATTTAAGAGGATTTAATTAAGAGAAGAATTTCTTCTGGAGGCCTAGCCTGGTGTATTCCCCTTAAAATTGATTTATTTGTTATAAGTTTACCAAATGGTTCAAAATTCATAGCACAGCACATCATACGCTTAAAAGAGAAGTTTGAGACCTATCCATTTTGCAATGAGTAAACATTTAAAGAGTTTTCTGAAGTTTTTGGTTGATCCTACAAGATTTAACTTTACAATAGTAAATAAGTGTGCTAATTTTAGAAACACTTAAGATTAAGCATTTTAAATCATCCCCTTATTCATGACTTATCATTCATGACATATGAGATATCATGAACTTTCCTCCACAGTAAAAACTTTCAAATGCAGTCTGGGAAAATAGTAATTTATAACATGATTTATTATGTTATGTCATCACCTTCAAATAATTTATGTGATTATGTTTATGTGGGGCAACATCCATCACATGTCAGTAATACTATAAATTTGAGCTATCCTTTGCATATTTGCCTTTATTTTCAGTTCTTGTTCATGCTTGGAGGGCTTTAAAGTAAAAATTCAAAAAGTTAGAACACGTAAGTACTTTTTAAAAAATCTCACCCAAGCATGCAGAATCGTTTAAATAGTCCAAGCAAATTCATTTAAATGAAGAAACATTTAAAAATGAATCATCTGCTATAGAGCTACTTACATTAATTCTTCTTAAAATGAAATGTTTTAAAGTTCATTTACTCCTAATAATGCAACAAAACAGTTTTCTTTTCTCGGTTTAATTAGCTTTTATTTCTAACAGCTATTTTAAAATACCCTACATGCTGTAAATCTTCATTATCTGAGCCTGAGATTGGCCAGGTGTGCCAAAAGAAAATAAGATAAAATACACCTGTATGTAAATTCTAGACCCAAATAAGTCAATATGTAAAATATCTTGTATCCAATGATTCAACTGAAGGAAATGAAAAATTTTGTCACTCCCAAGTGACAAAAAAATTAAGTTTGTCTTAGGAAAACAAAATATCTTTGGAAAAATACCAAACATAGACTATAATAATATCTGAGTGGATAATTTTACAAAAGTCTATATAATTTTTTGTACTTTAAAAAACTATTTTACAGCATGTATTTGTCTTTTTGAAAAACAAAATAAAGGAACTTTTCTCAGAACACCCCCTACCATAATGAATATATGGATAAGAGCCAGAAAAACAGACCTAGAGTTCTAGGCCCACCTTTCCCTTTACTTTTACAGTAATCTTTAACAAGATATGTAACATGCTATGTGTTCAGTGCCCTTCTCTATGCAATGATGTAATTGTATTTAAAATCTGTAAAATATTTAAAGTCCTAAAAATATACAATTTGACAACTCAAAGTTGTCTTCCAGCTTTTCTTCTCTCTAACAAAATGAAAGGTCTAAATAACCTGTGAGATTTTTAATATTCTCAAAATTTGATCCTCTGAATGTTTTGAAGTTACTGGTTAATGATGTTATTCAATTTATTATATTAAGTAGATGAGTGTGTTAAGAACTCTTTGTCTCATATTTTAAAAATGTAATCAATTCCAATTTTTAGTCTGATAACACATCATTACAATCTAAATATAACCCTGTTTGTAAGATTAACTAAGATTATTAGTGAATTTTATATCAATGTATTATATGCCATAAGCATTGAAATGTGGGCTTTCTTTTTTCACTTTGATATCATTGGAGTTAATAATCTGACTCTCCCTGAAAATCATCAGAGCTAGGGTATGAAAAGAGGATAAAACAAGGAAAACATAGATGAGGGAGAGGTAAATAAAGAAAGATAAAATAAACCATAATGTGTATTATAGGTAGTTTCAAAGCCTGAACGAAAACTAATCACTGTAAAATGAATTGTAAGCTTTCTTTGCCAAGCCAGTTTGAACATTGTGATCAGATTAAAATCCTGGTAGATTTATATTGAATATTTTAATATAAAATAATTATGTGAATGTTCAGCATTATGGCTAACACATAGGGAATTCAATTATTTTGTTTTTTTACTACAAATCTGATTACAAACGTTATGAATTGCATAAATGTTTAGTTTTATTTTCATTTAATTAGCATTAATTCCAATATTTGATTTTTTTCATATTTTCTATTTTTACCGATCATTAAGTCCAACAAACTTATTTGTTTGGATGTATTAGGTAGGAAAAAGAACAGGATAGTGAGTAGGACTCTGACAATAACCTCTACAAGCTTACAATATGGTATGAGATGGGAAAAAGGGACTAAGGATAAAACACTGCAGTATCTTGTAGGTTAATTTTTAAAAAATATACAATAATTAAAACATGAATGAATATGTAGCAGTAAGCAGCAAAAAAGAATAGTTCTAACAAATAGGGAAGTAGGAAAAGCTAAAAAGTCATATTTGATCTGGGTCTTGAAAAATAAGTTTTAATTAGATTTCATGCATTTATTGATAAAGATAACCTATATAAATTAAATTTGAGTGTATTGAATGGCATCAATAATGTGAATTTATTAATACAAAATATTGGTTGAAATAGACTGTGAACATGGGTTTTGCTTTCAAAACTGATTTGCATTTATTTTATACCTAAGAAATCTCTTTAAAATATTGTGTTTAAAATATTATAATTGACTCTTTCTGAATTACTGTTGACACATATCTGCTTTTGTGTTTTTAGACAGGAATCTGGGTTAAATGTACTTTGGGAAGTAGGTTCCATATTGCCAACAAGTGAGATGTCTTCAAGCAGCACTAAGGGAGATATTTTAGCAAAATTTATGCTCTAAATGTGTATAGAAATTGCTGTTTATCAAAAATTAATATACTCACGGATCCCTATAAAATATGTAAAATATTAATGTTATATATGAAACTTATAGTTTAAACATAAAACTCAGGAAACAAAGTGCAATATCCACTCATTTCCATATGTAGATCATTATACATGCATAATACTAGGACAATGAAACAGATGCTAAACCAGATTTCCTTCTCACACAAATACACAATAATATTGATTCATTCATCAACAATGTGATAAATATTCCGGACATGCTACTAGGTTCTGGACTTATTGTTGAAAATATAAAGGACAAGATCCTTAACTAACTCATGCTTAGGTTGTTATCTGAGATGGATACATGGTGAAGCTATACTGAATTTTGTTCATGAGATAATGAATCCCTACGCAGTTTGGATCTATGTAGTATTTCATCTTTTAAGTAATTCAATGTGATAAAATCTTATAGAGCATGAATAGGGCATTTTAGGCCCCTGAATTTCTGGTATTTTCCTTTCTCTAAAGAGGAGAGCCCTTTCTCTAACAATTTAAAGAAAAGGAAATCATTAAAAGTAACAGATAGACAGAGGTAGTGCCCAAACACCTCAACCCATTGGTGGAGGGGTAAGGATAGTCTTATCTCAGAGAAAGTGCCTTTTTCTCCTTTACCAAGGTATTAAGTAGTAGCCAGGTCAGGGAAGATCCATCTTTTCACATTTGGCGGTCTTTTAACTTTAGTACATTTCAGAGTTGCTTTGCTGGAATTTCTTAGACTTAATTTTGATTAACCTGAATACGTAAGAATGAACCTGCAGTGATTTCCCACCACATATACAATAAAAGAGCAAGAGTAGTTTTTCATTGATTTTTGAGCTCATTTTTCAAAATTTCAGCATCCTATCCCTATCCACACCCCACTTGGGCAGAACCTCCCCCTTTACACCTGGAATAGAGAAATGGAAAAGACAGGCTGACTACAGATAGACTAGTTTCCAAGAAAGAAAAAGACAGAGAGACACATTACCAGTGCATGCACAGCATCTTCTGCTAAACCAATCAATCAGAAGAATAATTCCTATTGTTCCTGCCTGCCTAGGTCACATGGGGCACAGAGCAGAGGGCAGTAGGAAGCCAGGATCTCCCACTGCAGGCAGAAAACATTAGGAGTGGAAAAGTAGCTCCCCTCCCACCACAATAATGCCCATTTTGCCCATATGCAAGCTAGATGATCTGACCTCCTATTATTCTGCCCCTCCAGCTACATTGAACTCCTGATTTTTGCTCCAAGACTGTAAGCATGTTCCCATTTCAGGGAACTCTAGTCTCAGAACTTAAAATGTCTTTTTTTTTTTTTTTTAAAGATTCCCTGCAGTTTGTGACCTTGTTTCATTTGGGTATCTTTTTAAATGGCAACTTATCTGACAGGCCTGCCCAGACCACCCTTTCTAAGACAGACTAATGCTTTCTTTGATTCATAGACATTGTGACTATTTGACGTTACAGAAAATCACTACATTACAGAAAATTATTGCAATATGGAAAATAATTTTTATTATTTTCTGTTTCCACAACTAGATCTTAAGTTTTGCAAGGATTCTGTTAAATACATTTCCTGCGGTGTCTGCTCCTCCTGTACAGTGACTAATAAATTGTAGATATTCAATATTTGTTAAATAAAGAAAAAGAGTAAGTGGCCTCTTTATGTCTAACAGGGGAAATCACAAAATACTAGGTTTATTCTCCTTTGAAGCACACATAGTTTTAAAATAATTGCAAATCAAATAACTTTCGCAAAGCCAAGATTAGCAATGAGATTTAAGCTTTTTTTGTGGTATCAAGAAATTAATTTTAGCCATCTTGAATCAATTAAAATAGGCAGTTTTAATTTGCAAGTTATTTATAATACCTACAAAAAACCCAAGTTTAATCATATATAATAAGTTAAGCAGATTGATTAGACAGATTTAGGTTTTTAAGTCAGACAGATTTGGGATAAAATCTCTATTTAATCACACAGTCTATGACCTCAGACAAATAGAATAGTTTTTTTCAAATCTTAAGACTTCATTTTGAGACAGGTAATATTGATACAAAATGAATTGCTTATATATATTAAATTATTTATAGTATATAAAACATACACAGCATAAAGTAAATGCTTTACAAACAGTTACATAACAACAACACTGCAAAACAATAATTATATGAAAACAATCTAAAATGTAATGTTTATATGCAATTGTGCAGAAGTATATCAATCAAATTTTTGGTTGATATAAAAAAGTACTGAATCATCCCTGATGATCTACATCAGTTGGAAACCGGAATGTCAATAGGAGTCAGGCAGGTAGCCTGTGAATGAAGCTGGATACAGGAGGACTGTGGTAGGCTGGAACTCATGCTTCATCTCAAGGCAGCAGCTGAAGCTCATCTCTGGCCAATTGTTGCCCAGAGATAAAACTGGACCACTATTGTAGGTCTACTGTTGTTGCTTTTTTATTTTGTGTGGATTTTTTTTTTTTTAGAAATGTATGATTTTATAATATTGACCACTCTGCATACCAAACAGCATACATCTTCCTCAAATTTCCCTATTTGTTAACATCTAGAGTAGACATTGCATTTCCATGTATGAGGACTGCAATTGAGTGCATAAAGGTCATTAGGATTTAAACCTATTATAAACTGGATCCACTTATTACACTGGTATCAATACTGGATCATATCTCTGTTGTCTCCATTTTACTGTGAGCACAGGCTAAGCAATGATCATGTCTTGATCATGCTTGTATCATAGTACCTGTTGCAATGGTAAGTCCATAGAAGCCATTATTCTAGTGTTATCACTGAATAAATCCTGATTGAAGGCCTGGACTTCTATACGATTATACCTGCGGTGGCTGGGAATAATAGCAGCCCTCAAAACAGTTAGTGAAATTCTTGGATCAGCACAACCAAGAGAGGGAGGATCATAAGAGACGAAGGGTAGAATCATTCAACTGAGAATGTCATGTGTCATTTGTGTTTTCCCATGCTACTGGAATTCGAAGGTGAAAATGTTCTTTTTGAAGAAGATGTCTTGGTTATTGCAAGACATATAGCATCTCTGACCTCTGTCCACTAAATGCCATTAAAGCATCCTGATCATTATGAGAAGCAGCAGTACATGTTGTGCCCCTGTTGAGAACCACAGAAAGTGGAGGGTATTAGTAAGAAGTGAGTAGAGTCATTGGCCGATGTAGTGTGGAAACAGAACAATGCTTCTCTTTGGCTCCTCTGCAATTGGAGTCAAAGATCTAAGCTTTCTGAATTCCATTCACATTAAGTAGAGAGTTCCAGGGTAAAGACTTGGTTCCGTCATGCTCCATTAAAGGAAGAACAATTCAAAATGTAGTCTTTCAAGGAAAGCAAAATTTTAAATAAAAAAATATCAACTTGAAATATCTGATCCAAATGGCTAATGACAGACCAATTTCAGAGCAGCCCAAGAGTGCAAAATCATGAGAGAATAAGCTTGAAAGAAAAGTAAGGAAGAAATACTTAGTAAAATTGCTTAACAATATCCACCTCCTACCTTTATCTCTTTAAGCCATTTGTATTTAATTAAGTTAAAGGGCTACCATTAATTAGAATGGCAGAGACAAAGGAATTATTCTTTCTCAATCCCTGTGTCTATAACAGCACCTAGAACTTAGTGAGTTCTAGGTGCTGTTATAATATGTGTAATAATAAGTATTACACATATAAATAAATATTCTTTGCACCAATGAGTGAACAAAGAAGCAGTCAAATCAGTGTTGAAATCAGAGAGGTGAATTCCTTCTTGACTCTCTTCTTCGCACATTCACCCTTTGATGCCACCCAATCCGTTAATAAATTCTTTATAAGGAAAGGTATGCAAATTCAATATATTTTAACATACTGATACGGTAGTTTTCCTTTCCCTTTCTTGTTTTTTTTTTTTTCTTTTCTGCTCTATTTTCCTTCACTGCAGTAAATGTGATATACATTTTGGAGAACTGAGGAAGGCCAAGACTAATAACTTTCTCATTTCTTGTGTTTCATTTCTTCTTCAGTTGCTGATGCCATGAAATGTTTTTTTGTTTTTATTTTTTGGTTTTAATGGATTATTGATTTGCTTTTTAGAGAGTTTATTATGACAAACAAAGGGCACTTGATGAGAAAAGTGATAAGAAGGACTTGAAGGAGAGAGAAACAGAAGTTAGTAGGCCTCTGGGTATATTAGAATTGGAGAATATAGCCTGGAGGTGCCAGTCAAGTGCTTCATAAAGGACCATTTGAGAGCACTGTTGTTTAAATATCTTGGGGCTTTGTTGAATCAGGCTTTCTTCTATTGCTTGCACTCTAGTCCACCTGCCGTCTGTAAGGGTAAAACTCCACCATGCCACCCTGCTGACCTTCAGCACGTCTGAATAGGCCACATAGGTAAAGGCTTGAGCCACTGCTAATTTGAGTCTTGGAAGGATGTCTTGTGATCATGTTCCAAGAAAAACACAACAGGATGGCAGGTTTGCAAAGATCTGGTGAGGCATTTACTCACTTACTTCCATATCTCCCACTGCAGGCTGTCATAAGACAATTTTCTGTACCTCCTAGGTTCTGATGAGGTACGGGGCTTCCAGCCTTGCCTCCCTGATATTAGAGTTGTAGAATATAAAACCACTTAGTTGCAGTCTAAAAGGGGCTCCACAGCAAAAGGGTACTCTACAGTTTCCAATGTAGTCATCTAAGCCCTCTTGTTTTGTTTCAGTGTTATCATTTTTGGTGACTGAAACAAAAATCAGGAGGAGCAGGCATTTTTTGCTTATTCTTCTCTTCAGCGTGTATTTACATTGTAAAATTTTAAATTCTAATGTTGGCTTATTTTATCTGTTCTAGTTGAGTTCATCAGGTCTTTGCCTTGCTTTGTCTTTTATGTGTGAGCTGAGACACTATCCAATGATCATGCAAGGAGGTAACTGTGAAACATCTGTACTAAGAATTCTCACCAGTAAATCATTCAGAGAACTCCATGCCAAGTCTTTCTGCACCACGATTCTTGTTCCCCACTGTATCAGGCAACCCTAGAAACATTGCACTCCAGAACACCTCTAAGAAAACTCCCTAACTTCTAAGAAAACTAGGTGATCCACAGACATACAGAGCACTGATTGAGACGAGCATGCCTGTTACTGAGCTTGTTCTCAAGTTGAGAGAAGAGGTAGGTTAATGAAGAGTGGAAACTTGCTTTTCTGCTAGACTCTATTTCTAAATACATGTTGATTTTATTCTCATGTCTACAAACCCACTGTTGAGAAACAGGACTAGCTGGATTTCCTAGGCCGACTAAGAATCCCTAAGCCTAGCTGGGAAGGCGTCCGCGTCTACCTTTAAACACGGGGCTTGCAACTTAGCTCACACTCGACCAATCAGGTAGTAAAGAGAGCTCACTAAAATGCTAATTAGGCAAAAACAGGAGGTAAAGAAATAGCCAATCATCTATTGCCTGAGAGCACAGCAGGAGGGACAATGATCAGAACATAAACTCAGGCATTCGAGCTAGCAACGGCTACCCTCTTTGGGTCCCCTCCCTTTGAATGGGAGCTCTGTTTTCACTCTATTAAATCTTGCAACTGCACTCTCTTCTGGTCCGTGTTAAGTTACCACTGGAGCCGAGCTTTCGCTCACTGTCCACCACTGCTGTTTGCTGCTGTGGCAGACCCGCTGCTGACTTCTGTCCCTCCAGATCCGGCAGGGTGTCTGCTGTGCTCCTGATCCAGGGAGGCGCCCGTTGCCACTCCCGATCAGGCTAAAGGTTTGCCATCCTTCCTGTACAGCTAAGTGCCCAGGTTCATCCTAATCGAGCTGAACACTAGTCACTGGGTTCCACAGTTCTCTTCCATGACCCACGGCTTCTAATAGAACTATAACACTCACTGCATGGCCTCAGATTCCATTCCTTGGAATCCGTGAGGCTAAGAACCCCAGGTCAAAGAACACGAGACTTGCCACCATCTTGGAAGCGGCCTGCCACCATTTTGGAAGTGGCCTACCACCATCTTGGGAGCTCTGGGAGCAAGGAGCCCCAGTAACACTGTCACCAAATTGGACAACTAGAATAAAAACTAGAATAAAGATTCTGTGGCAAGCAGCCAGAAAACAAGAAATAGATAAAAGAAAACAAAACAAAAACATTCTGATGGCAGAAAAAATAAACCTTTTCATAAATTTGGTAAATGTTTTGTTGTCTCTTAATTTACGAATGGGAAAAGATAACGAACTTGGCTGGATGTGGTGGCTCACGTTTGTAATCCCGGCACTTTGGGAGGCCAAGGCAGGTGGATCATTTGAGGTCAGGAGTTTGAGACCAGCTTGACCAACAAAGCAAAAACCTGTCTCTACTAAAAATACAAAAAACTAGCCTGGCATGGTGGTGCACACCTGTAATCACACTTACTGGGGAGGCTGAGACAGGAGAATCACTTGAACCCAGGAGGTGGAGGTTGCAGTGAGCAGAGATCACACCATTGCACTCCAGCCTGGGCAATATGATAAGACTCCATCTCAAAAACAAAAAAAAAAAGAAAAAGCAAAGATAAAGAACTAAAAGTAGTGCTCGTCACACACATCTGTGTGAAGAGACCACCAAACAGGCTTTGCGTGAGCAATAAAGCTTTTTAATCACCTGGGTGCAGGCGGGCTGAGTCCGAAAAGAGAGTCACTGAAGGGAAATAGGGGTGGGGCTGTTTTGTAGGATTTGGGTAGGTGGCAGAAAATTGCAGTCAAAGGGGGTTTTTCTCTTATGGGCAGGGTCAGGGGTCACAAGGTGCTCAGTGGGGGAGCTTCTGAGCCAGGAGAAGAAATTTCACAAGGTAATGTAATCAGTTAAGGCAGGAACAGGCCATTTTCACTTCTTTTGTGATTCTTCAGTTACTTCAGGCCATCTGGACATATATACGTGTAGGTCACAGGGGATTTGATGGCTTAGCCTGGGCTCAGAGGCCTGACAGTGCTAGGGATTGGGTCATCAAGAAGTGCAAGTCACAAGAAAGTGCATTAATGATTATTGAGTACATTATTAATTCCCTATCAGATTGGAAAGTTCCAGATAGTGATGACCCAATGAGATATAATTAGTTACAAAAAGTAGATGAATTGGCCCAATAAATAATTTTCAAAATGAAAATAATTAAAAACAATTAATTAGAAAAATATTTCAATTTACACTGTTTTTATTATAGAGCAACATAACAAATGCCCAATAAAATAATCCAATCAAATAGATTACATTCAGGTAGAATCCTGTAAAAAAGGTAAATGGAAATATTGATTAACAGGTAAATGGAAATATTTAAAATTGCAGCCAAATAACATTTTTGTAGGTATTTTTACATGAATGACAGTTAGTATAAAATGACTTTAGATTCTATTGGTTATATTTGTTAAAAGAATGGTTTAATTTTGTAATGTCAATGGTCTAGTTTTAAAATGTCATAATTTATAATATAGTAAAAATTGCTCTTTTAGCAACACTTATAATTCTGATAAAAATATTTGAAATATAATTTTAAAATGTGCAAAGCAGTGTATCATTTTTCAAAACATTTTGGAAAAGTTTTGAAAAAAATGAAAATGTACTAACCATTGTTGTTAAACAGGTTTATGTGAAGGGCTGGGCAGAATTATTTCCATAGTGTAGACTCCAGATCAATCTTTCAGATGTTGATCAACCACTCCAGGAATGAGAATTACGGATTTAGGCCCTATAGTTGTTAAGTAAACAAATACACACACACACACACACACACATATACACACACACACAAACATCCCTTTGTCAGTATAAACGTATTTTCAAAGCACAGTACAGACACTGTAGCAGATCTTCATATGACTGACAATATGGTTCTTCTACAATATAAATTTGACCTTATCAATCACCTGATTCAAACCACCCAGTGACTTTCTATGTTCCTGAGAATAAAACGTAAATTTCTTAATATGGTCTGTAAGGCACTTCATGATTTCCTCTCATTACCTTTTCAAAATTATTTCAAATTATTCTCTTCTTTAATGTGTTGCAGATACAGTCATGTGTGGATTACAGACAGGAATATATTCAGAGAAATGTGTTGTTAGATGATTTTGACACTGTGGGAACATCATAGAGTATATTTACACAAATCTAGATGGCATAGACTACTGTACACCTCAGCTATATGGTATAGCCTATTGTTCCTAAGCCACAAACATATATAGAATGTCACTGTACTAAATACTGTAGGCAATTGTAACAAAACGATATTTGTATATCTGAACCTGTCTAAATGTAAAAAGGTACAGTAAAAATATTATAGTATACTATTATATTATGTTAATAGTATATTATATTAATAAACATAATATTTTTATTAATAAATACAATATTTCATTAATAAATTAATAAATATAATAATAAAATATATTACTATAATATATTTTAATGTATAATATATTATAATATGTATTATAATAAATATAATAATAAAATATGATATTAATATTAATATTATACTATAATATTATATATTATATCATACTATAGTGGGACCACTATTATATGTAGCATGTCATTAACCTAAACATCATTATCTGGCTCATGACTGTAAATAGTTAGCTTTAAACTCCTATACCATCCAACTCTTGTTCATTTTAGACCTTTACATTTGCTGTTTCATTTCTTTTTTTTTTAGGTTGCTCTAAATTCATTGTGTTTTTAAGTTTTATTTTAATTTCAATGGTTTTTGAGGAACAGGTAGTTTTGGTTGCATGGATAAGTTATTTAGTGGTGCCTTCTAGATTTTGGTGCATCTGTCACCCAAACAGTGTACACTGAATCCAATATGTAGTCGTTTCTCCCTCATCTCACTCCTACTCTTTCCCCAGAGTTCCCCAAAGTTGATTATATCATTCTTACGCATTTGTGTTCTCATAGCTTAGCTTCCACTTAGAAGTGAGAACATGTGCTATTTGGATTTCCGTTCCTGAGTTACTTAGAATTAATGGCCTCCAACTCCATCCAAGTTGCTGCAAAGGCCTATTCCCCTTTCTTTACATTACTGGCTTTTCTTTATTCTTTGATTCTTATTTCAATCATTTTTTTCTCTTCTCTGACTTCTGTCTACCTTCATTTCTCTAAGAAGGCTTTCCTTCCCTCACTCTGCTAATCTCTACCTCAGCATTTTCCATTTTTAATCAAGGTATTTATAACAATTTTTAATGACATACTTTTTTGTCACTGATTTACATGCTCTTTATTTGTCTGTCCATCTGAGTTGCATCAAAGTTTATAAGACGACAGATTATGCTTGTTTCATTCATCAACATATGCTTATAATATGGCCTCATGTCTGAAGCTCTTTAATGTGTCTGGAAAGTAAACACATTTGTGGTGTTTCATAGTTTTTTGTGTCAGCAGTAATAATCTGTCTCTCTGGCAGTCACACTGTAAAGCCAATGTTTGTGCTTAAGGAAATGCTAATCCTAAACCTTCTGGATATTTCATTAAAATAATAATGTCTGGTATATATTGTGTTATAGTCTCCTAAAGAATTAATTTTAAACAAAAAGCCATTCAGATATAACTGAGTTAGCAATATGGACACATAAATTTTAAACCACCTGTTATATCAATCTAATCATTTCTTGCCGTCTTGGTTTTCTTCATCTTACCTCAATTTAGCATCTAGTTTTTTTTGATAATAAGTGGATATATTTCCAAAATGGTCACTATATAGCAAAATCTTTCATTTGTAATTTATGTATATTATTTAATTAAATATTTATGACTCTTCACTGGAGTAGTCATTATCATCTCTGTTTTATCAGTGAGGATATTGAAGCATAGAGAAGTAAAATAGCTTACCAAAGAATAAAGACTGAGATTTCAATCCATATTTGTCTGCTAAAGGGCCACTACTGAAACCTTGATAAGAATTTATTAACCATTTACTTTTACTTTCAACTTTAGAGAAAATTCATGTCACTTCAAAACATGTGAGCATACTAAAACAAAGGCTCCTTAACATGACAGAATTTTTCAAAACAGCCTCAAAATACAGACCTATTTTATTGCTGGAGGCACCATGCTTAAAATAAAAAGTGTGATTTTTTAATAGAGTAAAAGTTGATTTTTTTAAATGGCAGAAAAATATTCTAGCAATCTGCCAGAAAGAAATGAAGAGTAAAGAAGATACAGAACTGAAAATAGCTAAAAACAAGAAAACAAACAAAGAACAAAATACCTCTTGTAAAGATCATGGAGGGTTTATGTTATCTGGAAAGAAAGAATGTGCATGCCATACTTTATTTTTCATTTTGTTTTGCTTCTTAGTTCAAGGTTAGAAATGTGAAATCCAGTAGATTACAAGTTACAGTCTACATAGCCTACATGACAAGCACAAAATACTGTGGAAATCTTCTATTTTTTTTTGTTACTATTTTTTCCTGACTTTAAAACGTGTCTGATAACCAAATTATAAAACTGATTAGAAATCATTACTGTAACTTCATTTATAGTGTTTTTGATGTTTGCGAGATATAAGAGAAGAAAACATATTTAACTCAATTATGGTTTTCTTTATAATTGAGATTATCCAGATTCCTCAATTTTATATGAAAATCTGTATAATTATAGAAAATAAAAAATTGCATAATTTAGCTTTAATGTTAAAAACCCTCCTCCTACCTTTACTAGTTTAGAAAGGAACAGCAGGCTTTGAAATTAATATGAGCAAATCCCATCAGCAGAGGGCAGAAGAGATGACAATCTCCATGTGAAATATAAAACTGCTTTTCATTAAGTAAAACTATGCACACTTTTAAGCTTTGTTTTTCAGCAGTCTGTATTCTAATATGCATTAAAAAAGAGTGCTGCCAGCAAGGAAAACAACAAACAAACAAACAAAAAATACTCACCAGAAATTCATAGTGAAAGAAGCAACTATTACAGAAGATATTTACCCATTTTATGGAGACAAAAGTCTAGATAACAGTTGTATATGCTCTTTCCCTGCAAGTCCAAGGACACTTGAATGATCCTTTTAATTCCAGAGACAAGTAGTTTTTATTAGCTTTTATAAGATTCAGAGCCAACAAAGATACTGTCTCAAGATGATTATTTTTATAGTTCCCTTTGTTCCTTCTTTCCTAATATCCATCAGACAAATTATGTGGGTTTTAGACACATGTACTAAAATGTTCTTAGTAGTGGTTACATCTGTTCTGTTCTATACAGAGAAACTTAGTTATTTGATATATTATTTAGTGCCCTTTATATCTGCTTCTCTTTATTTGATTTACAGAGGACTTTTGATGTTTGCACTCTATTATTTCTAACTGGCAGTGGTCTTGTGTAAAAATATGTGTATGATTATTATATACCTTATATTCATAAGGAGGTTATATTCACATGAGTAAATCACATGTATCCTCAGCTTTTATTCTATTTTTCTGACCCCATTTAGAACAAAATCCCACAGAAATATTTCATTATTCTCCTCACTCTTTTCCTTCTTTCTTGAATTTAGATAATGGCTAGCATGAATATTATAACTGAAAGATTATCAAGTCAGAGGGTGACTACATTAGTCATATATATTTTTTTCCATTTTCTTAAATCAGTTAACTAAGACTACATACCACCTGGCTTCCATAGCACCACTATTAATGGCCATACCATCTCTCAGTCACTAATAAATATCAACAGAGTCCTATATTCTCATATTATGTCCCATTACCACTACTTTGGTCTTCTCACTTCTACTGCAAGGATCAATACAGGCCTCTGGGTCTAAGAGTGCTCTTGACAAGGCATATGTCCCAATACCACTACACTTACATCTCATCAAAATGTTCAACTTTAAGATCACCAAATCTCATCTCATTTTGAACCACAAGAAGTCTTAAGACTCAGGTCACCTCTCATCTCATGTAGTCAAATCCCCATAAGGCTCTGCCTTTTCTCTTTATGACGCCATTGACTTCCTTTCTTAAACTCTGAACTCTTTATACCATGCTTGTTGGGACTGACAATCAATTATCTGCAAAATCACCTCTATTCTGAACTTTTGTCCTAAATGTCTTCTTTGGCTTCTTAGTCTAACTTGAAAATGGCTCTCTCCTGGGAACACGCATTCTCTTTCTGCCTTCAAAACTCTTAGCTACTTTCTCTTCACACATTTCACACTATTGGGCCAAGAAATGTGCTAAGTGTTCTTTACACTGCTTTCTGATATTGTTTTTTTTTTCTCTTTCTCTGTTAGGCACTTCCAACTTTAAGTCATGTGATAGCACACCATAGTACCCACAGAAATGTTGCATCATTATTTCATAGTATCCAATATGCCTGATTGTTATAAAGTCCCTAGGTTAATTGCCTTCACTCAGTCGGTATTCTGTCTTCTAGCTCTCTGTTACTCTCTAATATTACTCCTATTGTAAGTACGCATAATTTTAGTAACAACTTTGATTGTTCTTCCAAACCCCTTGACTTTCCATTTTTTGACTTCATAGATTTCAATAATTTTGTCCTCCTCCTAATATTAGCCACTTAATCCCGTAGTTGTGATATAGAATCTCTAATCACAGCAACTCCCTCATTATTTTGATCTCAATATCTTTCTACTCTATCCCCAGAGTACAGCAATTACCTAATTGTTATATTTCTCTTCTCAACAAGAGCCTAAAATTAGCTTAGATCACTTATTTTCACAAATTATAACCCTCTTCATTTCTACATTTTCATCTTATATAGATTAAATTATCTGTGACAGCATTATAATCAGTCCTTTGTATATAGCTTTAATTCTCATACCTTCTATTTCTTCCTAGTCTTTTGAGAAAACCCTAATCTTGTTTAAGTGATGTCTCTACCCACTCTGATTCTATAACTAGATAATGATACAAAGCACAAAAAGCCTAACAGTCTTACTGCAAATCTGTGGTTACTAAAGTGACCACTAAATGCTGCCCAGTCATTGTATCAGTGTTTCATAATCTATTCATTATACTACTCTTCTAGAAGACAATTACATTTTCTCCTCTCTCCTCAAGTTCGTTAAACACCTCCCACTTTTCCCATTGCCTCATTTATGCCTTATTACACTTTCTCTTTTACTGGCTTCCATTGCCTTTTTATTGAGGAAAATATCCACCTATCTGTCAGCATCACTAACCATATTCTCTTCCTTTCTTTCTCCAACTAAAGATGAACAATCTCTGTTCCTTCCTGGGGCTATCCTGTCTCCTTATGCATTGAACCCATCCTCTCTTGCCTATTCAATATTACTCTGGCAATTCAATCTCTCTCTCTTCCTTTTTCACTTCTCCCTTAATATTTTTCCTCATTTAATGGTATTATTTCCTGCAACATGCAACTGCAGTAATTTATCTCATGTTAAAACACACACATAAACACACATATATTAGTATCTATAAAAGCTAAGCATTAGAAAGCCCAAAGGCCAATTCTTAGGCCTCATCTTGCATAACTGTCGGATAACTATTTTCCTCTTAAACACTTCATTTATTTAACGTATATTTTGTTTGTTTGTTTGTTTGTTTGTTGTTTTGAGATGGAGTCTCGCTCTGCCACCCAGGCTGGAGTGCAGTGGTGCAATCTTGGCTCACTGCAACCTCTGCCTCCCAGGTTCAAGCAATTCTCCCTGCCTCAGCTTCTGGAGCTGCTGAGATTACAGGTGCCCACCACCATGCCTGGCTAATTTTTAATATTTTTTTAGTATAGATGGGGTTTTGCCATATTGGCCAGGCTGGTCTTGAATACCTGACCTCAAGTGATCCACCCTCCTAGGCCTCTCAAAGTGCTGGAATTACAGGCATGAGCCACCGTGCCTGGCCTTATACTTTTAATATAGAAGAATGTGCTTTTTATGACCACATAATGATAGTCATGTGATGTTAGTAAAATAAGACAGAATAAACTTTTGCTTCCCTCAAAATTTGCTTCTTGTAGGGTATCTGTTCAAGGCTGAGAAAAAGAAACTGTGAAAATCTATTAATAGTATGGTTGAAACCAAGGGGGAGCAGGGCCTTGTGATTCCAACATAAACAGAAATAATAATATTTAAATATGGAACAAAGAAAGGAAGGAGGTAGGCAGAGAGAGAGAGAGGGAAAGGCAAGAAGGAGAGAAGTAGGGAAAGTGGGAAAGAACAAAGAACAACAATTGCTAATTGATATGGTTTCACTCAAATCTCATCTGAAATTGTAATCCCCACGTGTTGAAGGAGGGAGGTGATCAGATCATGGGAGCAGTTTCCCCCATGCTGTTCTTGTGATAGTGAGTGAGTTCTCATGAGATCTGATGGTTTTGTTTGTGTTAGAAAGTTCCTCCTTCACTCTTCTCTCTCCTGCCACCTTGAGGAGAACGTGCCTGCTTCCCCTTCTGCCATGATTCTAAGTTTCCTGAGGCTTCCCCAACCATGCAAAACTGTGAGTCAATTGAATCTCTTTCCTTTATAAATTACTCAGTCTCGGGCTGTATCTTTATGGCAATGTGAAAACAGACTAATACATTAAATTATTAGGGCATTTTCCTATATTCTAGTTCATTCTAAACTTCAACTAGAAGTCTACGTTTAATGTGGTCCAGGGTCTTAAATGATGGATAAAATGGGCTTTCATCTTACATATTTAAAGTATACAATTTCAGTTTTTGAAATATCAGTGCTCTTTATATGACATAAACAACCTATCAATGAGTTCACAATCCCTAGTAGAATACTCATGAACAGTGACTCAAGTATTTGGCAGAGATAAGTTGAAGTAAACCAAGCTGCATGGGTCCTGACACACAAGGCCTGCCACAGGAACACTCAGCCCCAATTCAGTATAGTTTTCTATTGACTTGACTACTCTGTAAGTAATTTCAAAAGATACAAGAAATGTTGGTTATTGCATTAGTATTAATGTCATATACGCTCTATAAGGAAAATGATAAGGCATAAATGAGGCTAAATTATGAGCAATAGTTACACAGTTAATTTGTTATTTGTTAATAACACAGATAGGAATGATACATCTTTGTTATTGTCAGGAGCAGCATTCACCATGCTCCCTCATATGTGAAGGCAATTATGAATGAGCAATTCAAGGTCTAGTGTAATAATTGCAGACAGTTTCTTAGTGAAGAGTTACAACCATTATCTAGTAATACCTAAAAACTGTAATGTTTTTTAAAGTTTGTATTTTGAATAATGGCTTATTTTAACTTATTAGCCTACTAATGACGCACTCTGTTTAGCTTCAACAACCAGCCAGTAAATTTCCATTCCTAAGGTGGTTCCAAGATGTTATGATGAAACAGGCTGTAATTTGTTAAAAAATAGTTAGTTCTTATCATGTACATGGGCTGTTATAATAATAATAATTGTTTCCTTAATGTGCTTTTATCATTGCTTCATAGATTTGATTATCAATCTGATGAATATTATCTATTTTCTACAAGGAAGGAGTGGAAAGATCTGTAAGATCCAAAATATATTATAAAATAACTAGAGCAGTGCAGTGAGAGAAAGAACAAATTAATTAGATAAGCATAAATCAAATATTTTTAAGCTTATTTGGAATCAATTTATATTATTAATCAGGTGGTTTCTTATTTCTCCTTTATTATCTTGTCTTTTAAGAACTTCTTTTTGTTATGTGGAAAAAATTCTGTCTTGTAGGTATTGACCCATCTTTTTACATATGGAATACTCTTTTAAATATGAAATAATCATAATTTTTCATTCAAACATGGTGTTTCAAAAATGAGATAATCAAAAACAACATAAAAAATTTCCTTGAAAAAGCTAATTTATGTAAACAATTCTAATAAACTTTATGTTCTTCATATTTATAGAATATTGTGAATGTATAAAGTTTTCAATATACAAGAATACATTCTGAAAACCTCAGGCAATTGTCACTGTCATTTAGAATAAATAGTATCATGTAATAAATACCTGACTGAGAAATAAAGAATAAAATAGTTATAAAAGAATTAAAAATTGTCACACTTCAGACAAAATGCATTTTAAAATATTTTCTCAGCATCCTCTCATCCATATCATGTTAGAAACCTCTTAGGTATTAATGATGTTTGGAGTAATCTTGGTGAAATCACTACTAAAACTTGCTGGAAAGAGATTCTTTGCTGATGCTTTGAAATTTGAGAGTAAGTCCCTGCAATACACTGAGATAGACTACTCCTATAATGCACTGTGAAATATGTGCAGTATCATTTTTTAGATCTTGTTAACTCTGATTCATAAAATGTGACATTTCTTATGCCATTTGCAAAGCAGTTAATTTATCCAGCAAATCTCATGATATTCTCTACACTCGAAAAGATTTACTATTTAGTAATAAAAACTGTTTTGGAAGAGGTAGAAGTGATATAGATGTATAATGTGATAAATATGAGATTGTGTTATAAACTGTAAAGTAACCCACTCTAGAATGCTGAATTATTAACTTCCAGATCAACAAGGTGCAAAACAACTACAATAAAATGTTAACTATCAACTTGGCACAATATTTTTTTGTAGCTGTACCAAAGTTTTAGTCTCTAAACTTTTAATTGTACATACTTCTCTGAAAAGTGTCTCTGCAGAAAATTGTGCTGTTGGTAAAAAATAATATCACAGAAACAAGTTGCATGAAGTATTTGTCTTCAGTTTTTACTTCTATAGGTAAATGTTGAAAATATACTAATTAGTCATTTGTCACAACGTCAAATGCTGTTATCTAAACATTAAATTTTACACCTTTAGCAGTTTTGAAATGCCAGGAAACACAATGACTCATATCTTTTCAGCATATTTTGAAGTAATGGAGATTCTAATGTAACTCATATTTGGAAAATAGTGTATAATATGATATATCCTGTAGAAAACCAATAAATATGAAGAAAAGAACAAATACTACCTGTCAATCATAAATATAACTATGTCATTACGTTATATAATTGCTTGGCTACACACTTATAATTTGACTATTCCTAAAGAAAAATTATTAAAATATTACTTATGTCATCCTCTTTTTAAAATAATGGTAATTAATCTTTAAATAAAGCTATGAAATCATTGTGTTTTATAGTATTTTTAAGTGGCTACAGCTTCTTTAGAAAATAATAGATTTATACAATTCTAAAGTGTGTTGCAGTTGTCTGTAACCTAGAAACATTATAAGTGCTCACTTCTTAAAAATATATATGAATTTTTAAATATTCCCATAAACAATAATTGATGTAACTGCAGGATGAATGGGTAATCTCAAGTACAAAACACAATTTTTCAACCATTAAAATCACCATGAAACATGTAAGCACTGTAGATCCTCTATCATCACTCATAATCATCCTTACATTGTTATAAATCATCTGCTAATATTTACTGGAAACTTTCTTGGTACACAGCATTTTCTTAAATAATAAGGAGGTTTTGAATGAGATCGTTTGTGGAGCAAGGAAATTTATGTAGCAAGCGTGAGATAATATTGCTGGCAACCCAGAAAGAATCAAAGAAAAGGATTTTAGTATTTAGTTGTACAGCAAGATGGATGACTTAATCACTAGATTTCCAATAGGATCTACTTCACAAGAAAAAAAGTAGTCAGCAAAAAGAAAGAAAATGATTCCCAAGAGTCTGCTTGCAATGAGAGTGTGCAAGAGTTAGGAGTGTTGGTATTTGGAAGGCAATAATGTCTCACCAATTGTAAGCAGAGGAGGGACAGAATGAGGAATTAGAAGAAACAGGAGTGAGAGTGAAAGAAAGAGGAAGTAAAGGTAAGAGACAGAAAATTAAGGGACAGAAGAGAAACGTTTCAGCAGCAGCAGAGTTTGAAAGGAGTACAATAAGGAAATATTTTGAAAGCAATTTTACAGAATTTTCACCTAGGGTTTGCTTTCAAAAAACCCCACTAATTTTTGCATTGTTTTTTAAAGATTTAACTCAGATATTTTTTTAAACTGTAATAATGCCCTGGGGAAATCCCATATTTAAGAAATGCATTTTCAGGCTTTTAATGTTTTGGTTTTAAGGTACAATGAATACTCAGGTGCATCTTAGATTAAATTTTTACCCTAACTTGACAAGATCACCTTTTCCCTATCTGACTATAGTCTTATCATTAGACTTCTGACTCAAAGGGCTGTCATTGGTCAGACCTATACTTTAAAATCATGGGAAAACAGTAAAATACAATTGAGGTTTGGGAGAAAATATGCTATTTGAGATTGGACATGCTAGAATGAGAATCAATTTTTGATAGGTTAAAGAAAGCTTACTACATAGATGAAATGGAATAAAAACCACCATAAACTTACAACCTGGAAATATATCATTAGCCAACTATTAGAGACTGAATATTTGTGTTGTGTCCCCACAAATTCGTATGTTGAAACCCTAACACACAAGGTAATGAAGATTAGGAGATAGGCTCTTTGGGAGGTAATTAGGTCATGAGAGTGGAGCCATGTAAGGATACAACAGAAACACCAGTCTGCAACCTAGAAGAGGGTCCTCAAGACCACAGCCATGCTGGCCCCCTGGTCTTGTATTTCTAGCCTATGGAACTGTGAGAAATAAATCTTCATTGTTTAAAACCCACCCAGTCTACGGTACTTTATTATAGCAGCCCAAACTGACTAAGACACTCATTTTCCAGGAATACATAATGTATTAAGAAATTTGAGGTGTTTCTGAATATAAAAAATTGAAATTATTCCAGGTTTTTGCTCTAACATACCTTGGGATTCACTCTTCTGAGGAATTGGACTCTACTCTGGGACTGAAATCTATCATGCTTTAGAAATGCTAGTATTGGATGTTTGCCATTAGCAAACATTAACTGGAAAATGTAATGAGAAGCCTGGAATGCTGTGCCAACAATCAGAAGATAAAAGAATCACATAGGGATGCCCAAACAGTTTGGGCAAGAGGCATTAATTTGTGGAAGACACACCGTGACAAGATAGCTAGACTAGATATGCCGTAACAGACATTTTAATTCTCCTCTGAGCTCTGAGTCTGATGTGTTTGGGTTTTATCCGTGTAACCTGAAGTTAAAAAAAAAAAGATGTAAATTATGCGAAGATTCTGTTTATAGGTGTTTGTTTGCCTGCAAGAGAAAAAGTAGTAGACAATGCCACAGCCTCAATCACCAACAGCTACTTAGGCACTCTGTAAACAGGGAAAATGATGAACAAGCAAAACCATTCTTAGAGAATGGTTTTTCACAGACTAAAAATAACCATTTTCTCATTTCCCTTCACGTCCAGCTAATTCTCTTTTGCAGGCCCAAAGAGCAGGTGTCAGCAGATTTTATTTTTATTTTTGTAAAAACTAGACAGTAAATACTTTAAGTTTTGTGGGTCATATGGTATCTGTTTCCACTATTCAACTTCACACCATCACACACACACACACACACACACACACGCACACAAATCTCTGTTCAGACAGGACTCAACTGAGAAACCAATGCCTGTGGGTACAGGGCCCAGATTTACACTATCATCATAGTATAAGAATCTCCAAACCAATGGATTAATATCAAAATAAATATCTGTGGCACTTAGCAAAACCTAAAACTGGCTAAAAAACATCACAAGTTCATGAGATCCTCACAAAAAGAAAACAGTGTGGTTGAAGATAAAATCACAATGTAAAAAATGAGATTAATCCAAATGAGTTAATTATAGCAGATAAATAAAAGAGGATTGTAGGCCTAAGAAATTTTGAACATGAAAATGGAAAGTCTATAAATTGTAAAGAAAAGAAACAGAGAGACTGTAAACAAAGAGGACAGGTAGATTTAAACAAAAATAAAATTATGGAAATTAATTGTGATGCTTAACTTTATGTGTTCATGTGGATGTGGCTAGGCCATAGTACCTAGGTATTTGGCCAAACGCTGGTTTAGATGTTGCTGTGAAGGTATTTTTCAGACATGATTTACATTTAAGTCGGTAGGCTTAGAGTAAATAGATTAACTTCCATAATATAGTGGACCTCATTCAATCAGCTGAAGCCCTTTAAAGAAAAAGACTGAAATCCTCCAAGGAAGTTGAAATTCTGCCTCCAGACTGCTTTTCAACTTGGGTTGCAATATCAACTTCCCTGGGCCTCCAGTCTGCTGGCCTGCCCTGCAGAGTTTCGATTTGCCAGCTCCACAATCACATTAGCCAATATATATCTGTGTATGTATATAAATACATATTTTATGCGTGTGTGTATATATATATATATACACATATATACACACACACATATATCCTAAAGTTTCTGTTTCTCTGGAGAACTCGGACTAATAAATAAATCAAGTAGCTCTTGCAATTAAGATAAATGAAAAAAATTGTAGTGGGTTTTTTTGTAACACACTGAAAGATACGTTCATGTTCTAATTAATGAAACCTGTAAACATTACCTTATTTGGGAAAATGGTTTTGCAGATTTAATCAAATAAAGAATCTTGAGATGAGGAGATCATTCTAGATTATTCGGGCAGGTCTTATTCCAATGACAAGTGTCTTTATAAGTGTGAGGCAGAGGAGATTTGGTAGACAGCATAAAAGAAGGTGACATGAAGACAAAGGCAGAAATTAGACTGATGTGGTCATAAATTAAGGAATGTCAACTGCCAGCAGAAGCTAGAAGAAGCCTGAAAAGATTCTCCCCTAGAGAGTTTGCAGAAGACATACTATAAACAGATACTTAGGCTGTACATGCCATACCAGATATTTTAATTCTCCTTGGAGTCTGGTATGTTTAAATTTCATAGAGCCATTGCTAGGAATGAATTCCTGCTCACACCTAGATTTCAGACTCCAGGCCTCCTATAAAAGAATAAATTAATGTATATTAAATCATCGATTTTGTGGTAATTTTATATGGCAGCCCAAGGAAACTACAAGTTTAAATAGCAGATATCACAAATGTTTAATAGGAATTCTAAAAGTAAAGAGTATTTAAAAAGTCGATACTTATAAAAATTCTTTTTTGTTGTTGTGTTGTTTTTGAGACAGGGTCTTGCTCTCTTGCTCAGGCTGCAGTGCAGTGGAGTGATCAGGCTCACTACAGCCTCAACCTCCTATGCTCAGTGATCCTCCCACCTCAGGCTCCTGAGTGGATAGGACTACAGGCATGTGCCACCACATGACTGAGTAATTTTAAGAATTTTTTTTTTAACGACGGGGTCTGCCTATGTTGCCCAGGCTGGTGTGAAATATTCCAGATTGATGAAAGATAGATTAAAGAAGTACATGTCTTGAACAGTAAGAAAAAAATTAATCCATGTTTATATTTATGATAGAAAAACTGTTATAAGAAAAGTAACCACTGTAATTTAACAACACACTCTTAGATAAGTAATAGCTCAAAGAAGAAATCAACAGATATAGTTTAGAATATATTTTGAGCTGAATGATAAGGAAAATAAGACCTGACAAAATTTGTGGGACACAGCTAAGCAGTGCTTCGAAGACAATTTACAGCTTTGAAAGCCTATTATCAGAAAGGAAGAAAAATTGACAATCAATGGTCTCATCTTCCAAACTGAAAAGCTAAGAAAAGAAGAGCAAAATTAACCAAAAGTAAATCGAAAAAAAAGAAATAGTAAAGATTGACTGAAAAATCAGTAATAGAAAACAAATACTAGTAGAAAAAATTAAGAAATCCAAAGGTTAGTTCTTTGAAAATCTCAATAACATTTACACACTCAGTGTGCACAAGAAAACAGAGCATGCACATGGCCAAAACCAGGAGTAAAAGAAAAGTTACTAATAGAGGGGTTAAAAAGAAATTATTTAAGCAGTAAGTAAGGATCAAAGAGTTCTTGGTGGGATTTTTTCTTAGTAAAAAGGCAGCCCCCAAATCATTTCTTTACTAACAAAAAGCAAGCTGAAAAATCAAGCTACAAGCATAGATAAGCAAGCTGGAAGCTTGCATAGGTAAATGCCAGCAGCTGTGTCAATAGAAAAGGGATATCTGGAAGCCAGGTATATTCAACATGGAGGTTTCCTCTTCTCTTTTCTTTGTCGCCACATGTGCAGGTAACATGGTGCCAGCCAGATAAAGACCTCACTTTCATAATAAAAAATTAGGATGGGATGACCAGCTGTCTGGCACACTATGTAAATGACACACCCGGCCCAACCAATCTGCTGCAACTTATGTAAATCAAACACGATTTCCTCAAGCTTGTCTATAAAACCAGTCACATCTTGCCTTAAACTCAGAAGCCCACTCGGGTCCCTTGCCTCTCACAAGGAAGCTCTCTCTTCTTTCGCCTATTAAACTTTCCTCTCTTAAATCTACTCCATGGGTGTCCATGTTTTCAATTTCCTTAGTGCAAAACAATGAACCTTGGGTATTTCCCCAGACAGACAACACTGCTTCAGTACCTCTATAGATTCAGTAGACATAAAAAGAAAATGTTACAAGAATGTTATGAATATAGTATTATGCCAGTTAAATAAACAGCTTAGACAAAATTGATTAATTTCTTGAAAATTAAAGCTGACTAAAAGTAGCATGTGATGAAAAAAATCTGAATGGTTACCTACCTGTAAAATAAACTGAATCTACTCCCATAAGTCTTCCTACAAAGAAATTCAAGACATCAGTAATTTTACTGGTAAATTTTAATTTAAATCAATTATTTAAGAAGATATGATACCAATTTTACTTTCACAACATAGAAAAATGTTACCTAATTGTTTCATGAGGGCAGCAAAATCTTTATAAAACCCTTAAAAAAACTTGACATAAAATATGAAATAACTTGTAAACATAAAACTTAACAAAATGTTACATAGAATCTAGTAATATGTAAATAAATAATATATGATAACTGTCTTAATCAGCCTGGGTTGTCACCAAAGACAAGGTGGCTTAAACAGCAGACATTTTTTTTTCTCACAGTTTTGGAATCTAGAAGTCTCGGATCAGAATACCACCATGATCCATTTCTTGGTGAAGAGAATTTTCTTTATTTGGTAAAGGATATCTACAAAAGAACAGAGGAAGAGGGGCAGGAGCAGGGAAGAGAAAAAAAGGAGAAAACAGAAGAAAAAAATCTACAACTATGATCATACTTAATGGTAAAATATTGAAAGTTTTACCTCTGGAATTGAGAATAACACAAGTGTTTCTGCTTTATCCATTTCTATTCATCATTGTACTGGATACCCTAATTAAGAAATAAAGAAAGATAAAATATATAACGTTTGGAAAGGAAGAAATAAAACTGTTTCTATTCCCACATGACATGATTATTTACAAAGAAAATTGTAAAGATTAAAAAAAAATAACTAGAGCTGGGTGCGATGGCTCACCCCTGTAATCTCAGGTCTTCCGGAGTCTGAGGCAGGTGAATCGCTTGCACCCAGGAGGCGGAGGTTGCGATGAGCCAAGATCACGCCACTGCACTCCAGCCTGGGTAACAGAGTGAGACTCCATTTCAAAAACAAATGAACAAACAAACAAAAAACTAGAACTATTAAGTAGAAAATTTATTACTTAGAATTGACTTTAAGATTTTTAAGGAGGCATAAAACTACAGACAGACTAGAAATCATCCTTCCCATTCCATCTGTATTCCCATTCCAACATTTATTTACACTCATTTATATAATTGTTATAAAAATAATTAGTTTTTTTAATTATTCAACATTAATGTCTGCTTGCATGTCTTTGATATTATCATAGTGCATACAAATGATAAATTTTTAGGTTCAATTGTCTCCAAATGTTTAAAAAGTATCTTCTACAGATGCAAAAGAACCAACACAGCTATAAACAGATCATCATAAAAGAATCTTCCTTTTGTAAGAGGATGTTTGTTTTTAATTACAAAATCAGTGAAAAAGACTAAAAATTTAAATAACAGAGCAAAAGATAAAAGCATTGAGAATTTTATCAATGGTTGATAAAAATATGAAATAAATCATTGATTTCTCAGCTGTCTGGAGAAAAGAGACTCCTTAACACAAAGAAGATCTGAAGATAATCAGGTTTCTTTTTCTCCACCAATCAAAGAGTGGTGTTTTTAACTACCTGATAGAAACCAGGTAACCATGAAACTAACTTTCCAGTGTTGGTATTTGAAACAAGGACAAATAGAAACAGACTATATCTGAGCAACCTGAAATATGAAATTGCAATGTACTGAGTTGGATAAATTGAAGGATAATCTGGTTAGTCACAGGGGGATGTTGAATTAAGGTTTGAACAAGTTTAGTTTCAGATGCTTATCAGAAATCCAAATACAGATTCTAGTAGGTACTTTGATAAATGAGCCTGGAATTTAATGGAAAATTTTGGTAGAGATATGAAGTGGGAAATTATTTATACATGATGGTCAAAGCCTTGAGAATGGGTGAGATCAATAGACAAGAGGAGAAGTCCTAAGACTGTGCCCTAACATACTCCAGTACATAAAGCTCAGGGTTATTAGGCAAATCTAGCCATGGAAACTGCCAAGACCAGCTCTGTTGTGGAGACCCTAACCCAGTGGCACTAGAGGAATTAAAGACACACACACAGAAATATAGAGTGTGGAGTGGGAAATCAGGGGGCTGACAGCCTTCAGAGGTGAGAGCCACGAACAGAGTTTTACCCACATATTTATTGACAGCAAGCCAGTGATAAACACTGTTTCTATAGATTATAGATTAACTAAAATGGGAAAAAAAGGGATGGGCTCTGGCTAGTTGTCTGCAGCAGGAGCATGTCCTTAAGGCACAGAACACTCATGCTATTGTTTGCGGCTTAGGAATGCCTTAAGTGGTTTTCTGCCCTGGGTGGGCCAGGTGTTCCTTGCCCTCATTCCAGTAAACCAACAACCTTTAGCATGGGCATCATGGCCATCATGAACATGTCACAGTGCTGCAGAGATTTTGTTTATGGCCAGTTTTGGGGCCAGTTTATGGCCAGATTTGCATGCCTGTTCCCCACAGAAACTAGGAAACAGTGATTAATGAGGTTTAAAAAAAAAAAGAGTATGATGTCCTGGAAATCAGAACAAACGTGGATTCAGGAAGGAAATAGTCATCAGTTGCATAAAATAATGCTAATAGGTGAAAATATATGCAAATTGAGAATTAAACATAGATGCATTTTTTTTTAAACAAAGTTTTACTGTGTCACACAGGCTAGAGTGCAGTGACTCACTCTGAGTTCACTGCAGCTTCAAACTCCTGGGCCCAAGGAGTTTGGGCCCTCCACCTTAGCCTTCTAAGTAGTGGGAAGCACAGGTGTGTACCGCCGTGTCCAACTTGACACATTTTTATTTTTTGTAGAGACACAGTCTCATTCTGTTGCCCAATCTGGTCTTAAACTCCTAGCCTCAAGTGATCCTCCCACTTCAGTCTCCTAAAGTGCTGGAATTACAAGCATGAGCCATGATGCCTAGCCTATTTTTTTTAAGGTAAATGTATTACAGCTTATTTGTTTACTGATAAGATTGACCTATTAGATGTATAACAGTTGATAGTCGTAGATAATGAGGCAAATTGCTGAAACATTACCCATGCAATTTTTCTCACATTTACTGTGGAAGACTTATTCACAAATTTTAGCAAAATTATTACAGTATTGTAAACCAAAAAATATCTGAGACAGGTCTCAATCAATTTAGAAGTTTACTTTGTCAAGTTTAAGGAAATGTCTTGGCGAGTAGTCTGTGCCTTTCTTTAAAGATGATTTTGAGGGCTTCAATATTTAAAGGGGAAAAGTGGGCTGGAGGAAAAGGAGGACATGGTCATCCACATGTTGCAAGGGAAAATGAGCAGTTTGAGGAATGATCAGTTATGTTTTTGTCTCAGTTATTCAGCACTTTTCATAAGACTACATGAACATAGAGTAGCTACCTCTGATATATTTAAGCTTTTATCTGTAGTTGTCTGTTTAGGAACAAAAGGAAAGGCAGCTCTTTTATGACTCAACTTTGAGCTGAATTTTTTCCTCTTGGCGTAGTGAACTGGAGTCTCGAGTTTCTACGTTCCTTTCACAATATTATTTTATAAGAGTAAAATTTTGAGACGTTTTCAAGATGGATAAAAGTCAAAAGCTTGACTTAGGAAAAATAAAAACTTCCCCCAAATAGTGCAAAATGGACATGTGGTATGCAATAAATACTTAATATTGTCCACAGGTTCTTGGTAACTGTGACTTTAAGATAAACAATATACAATAAATCCTGGAATTACATAGTTTTGTTCAATGACAACTTGTTATAACATTGACGAGGGAAAAAATGGTTTTCTTATTGTTGTAGTTTCCAAAAACTGGCTCACATGTGAAGTGAGGATTTACTGTTGTTATGTGAATAAAAACAATGCATCAATGGATTAGAAAATCTAAAAGTATCTCTCTGTGTGTATGTGTGTGCCTGTGTGTGTGTGTGTGTGTGTGTGTGTGTGTGTTTGAAAAAGAGAAAGACTAAGGCAGAGAATTAAATAGTAATTAATACCAAAATGGTGATTAGGGATAACTATAGTCTTCCCAACTGGATATCCATTTAAATATAAGCCATATTAAATATCTTGTGCAACAAATTTCTTAGAAAAGACTCTTGTAAGATTTAAATTATTTTCTGGTTTTTAAATTTTATGTACAAATGATGGGTGAAAAATTGTATCAAGTTACTTTGAGTCACATTCCTTGTTGAATAGGAAGTTCCGCATCTTTTTTAGGTATATATATTTTAATGTTTTTAAAAGACTTCTTTGTCAATTATATGAAACACAAATGATTGTTTTATAATATGTAACTTGTCTTTTTACTTTTTTAAACTTATACAGAATTCACTTATTTCAATATAGTCAAATTATTTAATATTACATTGTGCTTTATGGTTTTTGGGTCTCTCTTTTTAAGAAATGCTATCCTGGTAGATAACAATATAGATAACTTTGATCTAAATTGTTAGTGTAAATATCCTGCATTTAAAGATGTGAAACCATTGATGGAGTGGCATGTTCAGCTAGATACATGGAGACGTAATTCTTTTAGCAGCTTGCAGATTCACCAGTGAGAGGTGAGCATATGTTTTGTGTTAAGATACAGAAAAATTAAGCTAGCAAATTTATACCAATGCAAAAAAGTTTGTATTTAAATGCTTTCAAATAGATAGTTACCAGAAAAAGACCTTTTTTTTCTCCTCTATTTCTAAATTAAGATACCATATGAGCATCTGTATAGGACAACTCCAGAAAGACAATACTTCACATAACATACCAGGAAGGGCTTGCAAAAGATGGAAGCGATACGATTGGACAAATGCACTAGGAATAATTTTGATTTGGAAAGTTTCAGTTTAGAGTGTGTGGTCTATTTGTGGCTCTTCACCATCAAGGAAAATAGCATCCCCTCAGCACTTAGCCAAACTCCAGTGGTTATCTCATGCTCTATTTTTCTCTTCACTCCCGTCTTGTGTTCACTGAGATACAGGGACTACAGATTTTACTTTATTTCCTTTTCCCACAATTTCTCAATTTCTCGAAACTCACAACCAATGTGGTGATTCTTTTTGCTCCAGTCATCTAATAGTTTCTCTGCCTTCCAGTATGGCTTCCCTCCAAACATCAATGTAATTATGTCATCTTTCACCTTAAAAATCCTTCAGGGCATGCTGAGAACTTTAAGGAAAATAAGTCACACTTTTTGTGCATGGTGGGACTCCACAATCTGCCAACAATTACATCTTTATCTTCCTCTGCAACCAATCCATCTGTATATTTCAATAATTCTCTTAAAATTTATTATCCTCTCTTAGGCATATATACATTTAAATGCAATATTCTTTCATCTTCATGAGCTAAATTTTACTCTTCTTTCAAAGCTCAGCTTCTCTGGCATTTGTAAGTTTTCCCTGACCGTGAAGTCTGATTCTATATCACTTCTCCATGCTCTTGTAACACCTGGTGTTTCTTTCTCGTTTATTGCTTGACACTGAAGTATGTTTAGTTATTTTCTTAATTACTCTAAGTTTCATACATAAAATTTCAATTTACATCAAATTCTCACATAAAACAAACCATGTCAATTGTTTCATTGTTTTCTGATGTATTTGAAGATACAGTCCGTTAAACTTATTTCTTAAATGTTGTATTTTTAAAATTAGGTTGTTGATAGTATATATATGCTATCACTTAAACTGGAATTGCCAAAACACAAGAATGAGAGTCATTCATAACTCCTTTCTCTCATTTCCAATAGCTACTTAAAAAGAAAAATCTTTACATCCAAATGTCTCCTTTGTGCCATTCTGTCTTCTTCTACCTCCAATAACTCAGCTGTGGTTAAACCCTTCATCAGTTGGTTTCAGCACAAGTAAAATGCCTTTTCTATTTCCTATCAAACATTAACAATTTACTCAAATCTAAATGGCTTATTACAACATTTTGTTTTATTCATGGTTTTGTGATTTAGGAAATCAGAAGGGCTTCCTTGAGCAATTTTCATATAGAATCACTCATGCAATTGCAGTCTGATGGCTGTGTTCAATTGAAAGCTCTACTGGGCTCCAGAAAGATATTCTCAGCCATGATGTCTGGCTTCCCCAAGGTGAGTTACCCTAGAGAACACCAGGGAAAAATTCTATGGCCTTTTGTGACCTGCTATAAGATATTACTTACTTCAATTGCATTTTGTTTTCTAGATTACTAAGAAGTCACTAAATTCAGCCCTGATACAAAGGGAGAAAATACAGAAATCATCATTCCTTAAGCAGAGTATCAAAGAAGTTGTAGACTCTTCCCATACCCCTCCATTGTCCACTTTAGGAGAATTCTTCCTATAAGTTTTAATATTCAAAAAACATATTTTTTGTATATATACAGAGATTATTAAACAAAATATTTGGTAAAATAAAATCTAAACTGAATTATAAAATGTGTAAAGCATACATAAAATATTTGGTGAAGTAAAATCTAAACTTTATTATAAAATGTATAAAACACAAGGAGTATGTCATATAGTATTGAGAATTCAACTTCTATAATTAATTATTCTATATAGTTTGCATATTTGCTGCAGGTTTTTTTTTAATTAGAAAAGAAAAAATCATGTAATAAACATAAAGGTTTTCAACAATTTGACTGTTTTTCTTAACAAATGTATGAATATATTTTTACATTTCACTACATATGTATACTTATAGAAGTTTTTCCTATTGTTTTAAAGTTTTCATAAATGTTATGATATCATGCAAATTACGGTGACTTGAATTTCATTTAGAAATTAATCCCTAGTGACACATTTCATTCATATGTATGCATCCTTTGCCTTACCAAATAATGCTGTTTTTTTTTTTGGAGACAGAGTCTCCTTCTTGTCTCTCAGGCTGGAGTGCAGTGGCACAATCTGATCTTGGCTCACTGCAACTTCTGCCTCCCGGGTTCAAGCAATTCTCCTGCCTCAGCCTCCCAAGTAGCTGGGATTACAGGCGCCTGCCACCACGCCCAGCTAATTTTTGTATTTTCACTGGAGAACAGGGTTTCACCATGTTGGCCAGACTGGTCTTGAACTCCTGACCTCAGGTGATCCGTCCACCTCGGCCTCCCAAAGTGCTGGAATTACAGGTGTGAGCCACTGTGCCCAACCCCAAATAATATTCTACATCAGGTAATATAGATCTATTATATTTATACCTATTAATTGAAATTTCAGCTAGTAGCTATTTTTATTACTACCAGATTTTGATAAATTATTTTCTTAGTTGATATTCTTAATCACACCCTTACCAAGCACCTTATAGTTTCTATTCTTCTACACGTCTACTTCTTATTTTCAGATTTTTAAAAACTTTTCTCAAATTATAAAGGTAAAACTGTAGCAGGTTATTTTTACCCGTTTTTATTGTTGCTGTTCTTGTTTTACACTTGTTTTTGTCAAAGGTACTGCAGATACCCTTCTCCCACGATATATGCCTTTTTTTCACTTTATTTTCGTACAAAACTTACAAATTTTTGTGTAGTCAAATTAACTAATTTTACTTTGTCCTTTCTGCTTTTTGGGTTTTGTTTAAAAAATCATTTATTGTTTGACTTCCTAAAAATAGTCCAAATTACTCTTTATATAAATTAACATTATGCTTCTTTCATTCAAGTTTTAAAATCTGCTTTTTAAATTTTAATACTTTTATTCTTAGCTTTATTTTTTAAATTAAATAATTTTATTTTTAATTTTAATTTATTTTTAACCTTCAATGATACACAATTGTCAAATAAAATGCCTGGCTTTCACCTGTGCTGTTTTATGTCTATGCTATAAGTATTTCCTATTTTGGCATAAATTCTAGGATTACATTAATTTACAGAAAGGTTTTATTCACAGTATAAAGAAAAATATGTAAATAAATATTTAATTAAAAGTCATTTTGTTTTTTATAAGCACTGTTAATGAGAATTATGAAATCAAGCTCTCTTCATGTAACCAAAGATATACACACATATGTGTGATACATGCACACTCCATACCTTTAAGTAATTTTATGTGGTAATACTACTTCTGTATGTCACAAAATATATGTATTTCAAAACTCATTGCCATGCAAAAATAAAGTCATCCAAGGGCGAGTTCTTCTGCTACATTGGGATAAGTCAAGAAAATCTTTCTTCACAAATAAGCTTATGTTTTCCATCCTTCAGAAGTTTATGGAAGGTCAAATCCTATTTTGCATTAAAGACTAACTTCAGTGTTTTTATTGTGAGATAATTCAACCCAGCCCAGGCTGGAGTGCAGTGGCGCGATCTTGGCTCACTGCAACCTCCACCTCCCGGGCTCAGGCAATTCTCCTGCCTAAGCCTCCCGAGTAGCTGGGATTACAGGCACATGCCACGATGTCCTGCAAATTTTTGTATGTTTTTAGTAGAGAAATGGTTTCGCCATGTTGGCCAGGCTGGTCTCAGACTCCTGAAATTGTGATCCGCCTGCCTTGGCCTCCCAAAGTGCTGGGATTACAGGTTTGAGCCACCGTGCCCAGTCCCAACCAGCTTTTTAATGTGAACTTGTTATTTGATATAATTAGTCTGGGGGAGACAAAGATGGTATGCTTATAGTAAATACCCTTTAAACAATGGTAAAGTCAAATTTTAGAGTTTTAAGATGTTTTAGGCATCATTGAGTAAGAGGGGATCATTTTGCAAGACAAATACTAAGTTCCAGAAAAAGTAAAGTGCACAGTTAAATTTATTGGTATACTTAGAATTCCAATTTTATCTTCCTAATGGAATGCTTTATTTACTACATCATACTAACATTAAGCTGATTAATTTATTTTACACATTCAAAAATTTGCAAGGTAATTTATTACATCATTATTTTAAACTTTTTAAATAAATGTGAATTATATAAAAAATATCAGTATGCTAGTGCCTGAATATTTCTGAAGTCAACAAGAGCCCATGATGAGAATTTAAAGAAAATATTTCAAAGTAATTGAGATTAACATAATGGAATCACATGTATGCATATTGAACAAATCTGAAGCTGGTTCAAATGATACCTTCTCAAAAGGATCCTAATAGAAAGCATCACTCGTCATGAGGATTATCTTGGATATATTAAAGTTCCAATTATCTGCAGAAAATAAATAATCATTTTCTCTTGGTCTGCCCTCTCAAATTGTGATTCACAGTTTAATTAATTATCAGCACCATTTTATTATATTTAGAGACTTTTAATACACATCTACATGACAATCTGCATTTTTTTGTGCATTTTTGTACAGTGTCCTTTCCAAATAAATGCAGCAAAATGCTAGTTTAGTAATCAAAATTGTAAATACGGCAAGTAAGGATGGCTTAAATATACATCTGGAAGTTCCACTGGTGGTTTTCAGTAGAGACTCCACGTAAAAGCAATGGATCAATTTCAATATCTGCCAGGTAGAAATTTTTCTAACAACTGGGAAATTTGAAGTTGTAAAACATAAAGCATACAAGATAGCAGATATCTCTTCTTGTGATCAAATATTGAAGACAATGTTTCTTACATTGCCACCTTTCCAGAGTCTAATGTAGAAATTTGCTTTTCTTACTATTGACTTCAATCTAAAAATCAGAGGCACAAAGTTTAACAAGTCCTCAAACTAACTTCTCCCTTTTTTTCCCTCAATTTTCAGTTGGTTAAATATTTATAGATTTTGTTGGGCTCATATCTATGATAACTGTTTGGAATATTACACAAATGCATCACGCACATACGTCTGGGTGATGTGTCTTTTTTATCTATGTAACTATGACACTGTCATTCTTAACTGCCTGTGCTCAGCTGTAGTTGAAGACATGGATGCGGGGGGAGACTGTTTTCTGATTTATGACCAATGCCGCAGTTTGTAGAAGCTGGCACTGTGACTGCCTGTTACACCCAAGGTCAGCTCAAAGCCCGAGTTGAAAAAAAATACCTCTTCTTTCTGCTGCTGGGCAGGCTGATACATGTAATGCTTTTTATTATTACAGCTCTGTGGGGTTGCTGAAGTTCTGTTGGAAACAAGCTTTGAAAACTTTTCTTTGCTTGCTGATTTATATCCTTTCTTGGTTCAAAGGGGTGATTGGTGTCTATGGTGTAGGCAGTACATTCTTATTCACAGAATCCAAATTGTCAATGCCCTTGAGTGAATTATTTTGATTGAACCTGTATGAACTTTAGGATACACTTGTGTCAGACGTTTTTATTCATATATATACTGTCCTTTATTCTCCTTTTACATTGTTCACTTGTCCTGTAAATGGGAGCCAGAAATCAACATTCCTATTTCACTTATCCAGTGAGATAGAAATAAAATAAATTCCAGTTGTTGGGATCGTTCGCACTGGTGATGGTTGGATTAAAATGTTTCCTTTGTATGGGAAGCAAATCATTATTTATTTTAAGTGAACAATGTATTTACAGTGACAGGTCCAGAATTATGATTCAAAACAATTTCATGTAATGAGTTCACTCATCTTCATGATTTCATAGATCTAATTATAATTATAGACTTATGTATTTGAATGTGCTACTTTAAAAAGTGAAAATTTGGATTTACAAAAATGACACTCAAAATGATTAGTAATAATTGATTATTTGTTAACTATATGAGCTAATTGTGTTATTATTTAGATGTGATACCTGATAGATGCATTTAAGGTATGAACTGGTTTATAAAAGAAAATTTGAACAATGTGTGGAATCTTATATTAAAGTATATATAAACCTCATATTTTAAATATATATACATGTTACATTGATTTAGTTTAGAAAATTTTGGCCCAGCTTATTGAACAGTAGCAAATATATGAGATTTTATTAATTAATATTTATTTTAAGCAAATATGATGTATAATTCCATCAAGCATTTATACACATAAATACATGAAATATTCTTGTACATTCTTTTTTACAATTCATGTGCAGACAGTGTGGCAAGCATAAGGATAAATTTATTTCAGTATTGTTACACATAAAATAATTAAAGGAAAAGCTAGGATAAACTAATCAGTTAATCAAAACAGGTAGGAAAATGTGAAAATGGAGATATACAATCAATATTAAATGAATGTTATTCTTTTTTGAATTCCAACATATGCCATTTGTAGCCATTGATATCCTGGTTATTTTAATTAGACCAAGAGATTGTAATGAGACTTTTGCACACTTCATACAGGTACATTGAACATCACTTCTTCCTTTTGTTTATCTTTCTTGGCTTTTACCCACTGTTTGTTTCCTAAGGCTACTGTAACAAATGAGAACAAGCTTGTTGCTTTAAAATAACAGAAATGTATTCTTTCAGATTTCTGGAGACCAGAAGTCCCAAATCAGTTCCACTTGGCTGAAATCAGGGTGATAGTGGGACTTTAATCTCTCTGGATGCTCTAAAGAACCGTTCTTTGCATCTATCAACTTCTGGCAATTGCCAGCATTCCTTGGCTTGTAGTTGCATCACTCCAGTCTCTGCCTCAGTAGTTACATTGCCTTCACCTCTTCTGCCTGTGTGTCAAATCTTCCTCTGCCTTCCTTTTATGAAGATATATGTGATCACGTTTAGAGACCACCAGATAACCCAAGATAATCTCCTCATATCAAAATCCTTCATTTGAATCACATCTGCAAAGATCTTTTCCTTGCCCATATGAGAAAATATTCACAGCTTCCAAGGACTAGAGCACTCATACCTTTTGTGGAGGTCATTGTCAAGGCTACTACACAAATTATCCTTTGTTATTACTTTATTTCCCAGCAAGAGTACCTTCCAGTTCAGACATGGATTGGAGACCATTCATAGTTCTTGCACAGCATCCTCTCTCCCTCTTTAGTGTTTTTGCACTTATTCTCCTTCTGCCTTGAATGCTATTCTTGATTTACTTAATTCCTCCATATTCTTCTCCAATTTAGACTAAAACAAACAAATGAAAAATGAACAAAACAACAACAACAAAATGCTCCATTCAGAGGATGTTGGGACTGATTTCTGGTCCTTGTGTTCTGTGCACATTCTTGTAACCTCGTATTGCAGGGTTTTACTTTTTCTTTCTGAGGTACAACTAATATAACTTTCCTTTTTAAAAAATACGGCAGTTGTCTTACTCCCTGACACATAGTAGGAGATCAATATGCATCTATTGGTTGCCTTACTGTGTGAATAGAGTTGACTTCATTAGTAGGAATGGGAATTTACTTTAAAATAGCGTTCTGCCACTTGGGAAATGAGCTAATTGCAGTTAGAAAACTGGAATCACTAAGCTATCTATAAAACAAGTATTGTATTTCCTGTTACTAGAACAGATATTGATAACAAACCATTCCAAAATTATAATGCAGAGTATAAAGAAGGTTTAAAGAAATATATTTTTGTTTGACTCATAATACTTGCGTATAAGAAGGTATTAGCTTCTTAGTAGAAACTTAGGTTTATTTAAAATGAAATGTGCCATGCACCCTGAAGAGGAGTCTGTCTTTCCTGTATTTTCAAAAGATAAGTTTCTAAACATTTCTTAACATATTAAAATTAAAAAAAATATGCCATTCTACAAAATTTTCTCTTAAAACAACATAATGATGATTGTTAGTTTATTCTGTTCAACTCACAATCAATGAAAGATACTCTGAGCTGAGTACTAGGATGGTAAGGGAGGATACAGAGCAGAGTCAGATGTGGTAATGTACTAAGAAAATCTTAATGTAAGAAGACGTGTAAATGAATTAGCACAATAATAGTAGAGTTTGGTAGGTGATACTGAAGTTAAAATATGCTATAGGAACATAGAGTGGAAAGTAAAGTGTATGCATGCACACAGTCCCCACCCCTACCCACACACAGGGGTAAATGTTAATGACTGGTGTGACTCACGTAAGTGCTGTACCCAAAAGGAAAACTGGGAACTTACTAGGCAGTCCAAGTCAGAAAGGGATAACAGAGATTGAAAACATAATAATAATAAAGAAAGAATCAGAGATGTATGAGGAAAATCAAATAGTCTATGTTATGGAGAGCAAAGATTCTCAAATTTGACTAATATAAGAAACTAATTTGAAATACAGTTTACAAGGCTGCCAGGGAGAGTGATTCCTCTGATAGGGCCTGGCAAAGTAAGTTGAAAATCTTCTGAAATGGATTCACCATTCTAGATGCCATTAAGAACATATATGATTCATAAGAGAAGCCCAGAATGTCAACATTAACAGGAGTTTGAAAAGAGTTGATTCCAAAACTTGTAGATGACTTTGAAGGATTCAAAACTTCAGTGGAAGAAGTCACTGAAGATGTGGTGGGTGTGATATGGTTTGGCTGTGTCCCCACCCAAATCTCATCTTGAATTCCCACATGTTGTGGGAGGGACTGGTGGGAGGTAATTGAATCACGGGGGCAGGTCTTTCCCATGATGCTCTCCTGATAGTGCACAAGTCTCACGAGATCTGATGGCTTTATAAGGTGGAGTTTCTCTGCATAAGCTCTCTCCCTTTGCCTGCTGCCATCCATTTAAGACGTGACTTGTTCGTCCTTGCCTTCCACCATGACTGAGAGGCTTTCCCAGCAACTTGGAAGTGTAAGTCCATTAAACCTCTTTCTTTTGTAAGTTGCTCAGTCTTCTGTATATCTTTTTCAGTAGAGTGAGAACAGACTAATACATGGTGGAAATAGGAAGAGAACTAGAATTAGAAATGGAGCCTGAAGATGTGACTGAATTGTTGCAATCTCATGACAAAATTTCAGCAGATGAAGAGTTGCTTCTAATGGATGAAAAAGAAAGTGTTTTTTTGAGATGAATCTACTCCTGGCAAAGATGCTGTGAATGCTGTTGAAATGAAAGCAAGGGATTTAGAATATTATATATACTTAGTTGATAAAGCAGTGGCAGGGCTTGAGAGGATTTACTCCGAGATCTACCGTGAGAAAAATGCTATCAAATGGTATCACATGCTACAGAGAAATATTTCATGAAAGGAAGAGTCAATTGATGAGGCAAACTTTATTGTTGTCTTATTTTAAGAAGTCGCCACAGCCCTCTCAGCCTTCAGGAACCTCTACCCTGATCAGTCAGTGGCCATCAACATTGAGGCAAGACCTTCCTCCAGCAAAGAGATTATAACTAACTGATAGCTCAGATAATTATTAGCATTTTTAGCAATAAAGTATTTTTTAATTAAGGTATGTACATTGTTTTTTTCACATAATGCTATAGTACTCTTAATCAACTATAGTGTAGTGAAAACAACTTTTATATGAACCAAGAAACCAAACAAAATTGTGTGACTTGATTTATTTCAATATTCACTTTATTCTGGTGATCTGGAACTAAAACTGCAATATCTCCAAGACATAATGTAAAAATCTTACTGAAATTAAAGACAAAGGAATATTTGTAGTTCAAAATTTATTTGTTCATTTGCAATAAATACCTTAAAAATACTGCCTTTTCTTTTTCAAATTAGATCCCATAAGAAATGTTAGTTATAGCATTAATGTGCTTGGGAAGTATTTATGTAGCAAAATATAAGCTTCATTACATTGTCATGAATTATAACTTTGTGATCCTAATTATATGTGTATTTTACTATAGAAAGTAGAAGATCGAGAAAAATATATTGTGGGCATTTTTAATTAGGTTTTAGGTGGAAATGTTAATACTATATTTTCAGGATGATACCTTTTACTAAGGAAATGTGAAAAAGAAAGTTAATATGTTGTTGTAGTAAAACTAATTACTATTCTTGTTAGCATACAGTATTTCTTCATTGAAATTTTACTGATTTCATTAGCTGGTCCATTAAGTGCAAATTTTCACTTGTAATAACCAAAATGAATTAGTGACTTTCTTGTTTTGTTATACTGTAAACATAACAGAAAATCTCTGCATATATATATATATATATATATATATATATATATATATATATATACCTGTATATATATGTCTAGCCTGCCTGCTGAGAGCCTTTAGGCATTGCTATGTCTCTGCAGAAACTCAGAATATGCCTTAGGTTTCCACTGCGGAAATTAACATCTCATATGTCAACAGTTGCTGTCAAGTGAACTGAGTCTTTATTTTACCAACACATTTAAACCTTGTAAGCATTTGACTTATATATTTCAGTGTGAGATACATAACATTTTCAAAATGATTCTACTGTACTGTAACTAAAGTTGATATTTTTCCTCCAAATGCTAAAAAAATACAAATCTGTGCTCCCGTTAACAGTTTAAATACAACAGAATTGAATTAGCGACAATAAAAGCCAAGCCACAAACCCACATTTGGCGATCCTCAGACAGCACAAGATTTCGTTATTTCCTCCTTTGTCAGGCAGTGTTTATTTCACTTTAAAATTCTTCAAGCTATGGATCATATATCTCATCTTTGGGGAGACTATTCCACCATCAATACAGTTCACTAGCTACGTCGAAGTCCAACTTTACTGGCTGAGAATCAGAGATGAGTAGAATTTTCTTCTAACAGAGGGGCCATTTGACTCATTTTATTATTTTTAATACTGAACACTGTAGTGAACTAGCCAGTCAACTGTGCAGTCAAAGACATGGACCCGCCCGAAGGACTCGCATCTCAGCAAATGATCCCTTTCCTCTGTCTGGCTGGCCTAGCAAAGGACAGAGAATGCAATCATCTTCATCAATGAACCTGAGGAAAAGCTGAGTAGGCAAGACACTAATCAAATAAGTGGATCTGCTGAGGCTCATCCTTCAACCCCAAACTTTGCTTCTTGAGGGCCTGAAGGAGGTAAGCAGGAAAAAAGAAAGTCTGACAATATGCTGTACTTGCATGCTTCAAATTGGCCCTCTGCAGTAGCATTTCCACTTAGTTACCTTGAGAATACAAAGCAATGTCAGAGACTTACAGATGCCTATTTTGCTTCAGATGGACTTTTATATATAATTTTGCTACTGTCAGAAGCCTTTAAAGTTATGAAAAATCACACCTGTAATTGCAAGCATCATCAGAGAAAGACAAATAGGTAGAAAACCAATTTGAAAATAATTAGTCTTCATAAAGTTCCCCACATAATATTCTTCAGAGATTGTTACAATTAAAACACTCAAGAAAGAATCAGAATCGATCAAAAGTTGAACACCTATGAACTGTGCCACCTTGAGGAAATGATTTCACTTCTCAGCACTTCAAAAGTGTCTGTAAAACAATAATAATAACTACTTCAATAGATTGTTGTGAAGTGTGGTTGAGATAATGCACTCAGAAAGGCCAATCATAAAATGCAATTAACATATGCTATGTTAGATTTTACTTTTTATTGCTAAAACAATCATTAACATATTAATCTTAATCAAAAATTCTTAGAAACTTCTATGTGGTGTTTTGGGAACCGAAAAATGAAAAGTAACTAGTTTTCAAAAAATGAAATAAGAAACTCACATTCATAGGTCATTTTTGCTAATGTCCAGAGTAGGCAAATTATGTAATGGAAAGAGTTCAATGTTATGCCAGATAGCAGAAATGATTGTTTTATTTATTAAATTTAAAATAGTAAATATTAAATAATTTATTCAAAATTTCTTTTCACTATCAGCCTAAACCTTTTTTACATTCTCCTTTTTAAGGGTATCAAGTTCTCACCTTTAAATTGGAATATTTCTTTAAAAAATGTCTAGCACAATCACTGGTATATTGAATACTTAAAATATTCATATGTATATTTACAATAGAATACTGTTCAGCCTTACAAAATAATACAATTCTGTCATTTGTGACATAGATAGAATTGGAAACATGCTACATGAAATAAGCCAGGCAAAGAAAGAAAAATACTGCATGTTCTTGCTTACATGTAAAATTTGTAACAATCAAACTCACAGAAGCAGATGGTAGAATGGAGGTTACAGAGGCTGGGCATTGAGGCGAATGGGGAGATTATGATCAAAGTGTACAAAATATCAGGTGAACAGGAGGAATACATTTTTTTAAATTAGATTTCTATTACCCAGTATGGTGAATACAGCTAATAATATAGTTTGTGTATCTCAAAATTGCTGTGTATTTCAAAATTGCTAAGAATAAATTTCAAATGTTCTGACAATAAAAATATTAATTATTTGAGGTGATGAATATGTTAATTAGCTTTATTTAATTATTCCATATTGTATTCATAAGTTGTAACATCACTTCGTATAACCTCAAAAGAAAATATTATGTGTATAATTAAATTTAGGGAATTTTTTTTTTCTCATGGGTCAAGTTTATACCTGGTAGGGGAGCTGATGAATGGACCCCAATGAAAACACACAATTGGGCATATTTGAAGGGCAGAATTACATCAAGGAGAACAGGAGTGTGAGAAGTTGAAGCACAGTGAGATCTGCAATAATAAGAACTGGTGACTTAGATTCCAAGTAGTTACGTCTAAGAAACTTACACACACACCCTACAGGACAATCAGCATTTGGCGTGTCATGGAAAAGAGAATGAATATTGGCCAAAGAGTTTTGACAGCTAACATCAAGAGAAGTATACAAAAGATCAGTGATGTAAGGGATTATTTTGTCTCCAATATCTCTCTTCTTCTACCCCAAATGCACTGGTAGAATCACGCCTTAAAGGAGAAAGGAAAGATGTGTCTCAGCCAAACACTCTATCCATCAATGAAAATAATTAGCATGTTTAAGGTGACTGAGGCAGTCATATCAAGTGCAAAATTTAAGGCAGGAGATCAAAAGACTTAGTAGTCAACATAAATTATATTAATGTATTTTAAAATCTACATTGAAAAAATTCCATCATGAAAGAAATATAAATATTTTTCATAAAGACAGATTCACCCAGATGCAGTGGCTCACACCTATCATCCCAGTGATTCAGAAGGCAGAGGCAGGAGGATTGCTTGAGGCCAGATGATCATGATCAGCCTGGGCAACACAGTGAGATCCCAATCTCTAAAAATATATATTTTTTACTGCACTCCAACCTGGGTGACAGCGAGACTCCGTCTCAAAAAAATATATATATATATTTATATGTATATATATGTATATTTTAATTAGTTGGACATGGTAGAGTGTGCCTGTAGTGCCAGCTACTTGGGAGGCGGAGGTGGCAGGATAGCTTTAGCCCAGGAGTTTGAGGCTGCAGTGAGCTATGATCACACCTCTGTACTCCAGTTGGAAAACAGAGTGAGATCCCTTGCCTAAAACAAAACAAAACAAAATAATACATATTTAGTCAGAGTCACGACATCAAACGTGTGATGTTGGAACAGAAGTTTGACATGTATTGCTCTAGGCTATCTAATAGCCTAGAACTAATAATTAGGAACTAATAATTGTCATTAATGTAGTTTTTTTAAATTCGTAATACTAATATATATGCAAAAAACCCACTCTGTCAGATAAAAATACTTTATGATAGGTTTTACTTTGAATTCATGCAATTCAATAATCTATTTGATATTTGGGCAAGGGGGGAGGTAGGCAGGATAGACTGTACTGTCCTGTTTTAGCAGCTTCATTTCTATAGTTGATCCATAGGTTTCCTTCAGTCTCACAAATGAGACTCACTTCCTGCTGTTTTCTGTGTTGTCATTTGTCATTTTTATTATGTGATGGTGCTTCAGGGGCTATCAGAAACAAAGAAATGGGTCCCTTTTATGCTTATCTCTGTTCAGACCTAATTGTCTTTTATTTTTTAATTTAAAAGCAGAGTCGGAAGATGGTTATTTCAACTGATTTTTTCTGCATACTTTACTCCGGCTGGTATCTCTTAAGATTTACTGCTTTAATTAATTATAGTTTAGACATCATGAAATTATTTAGAGTCAAAAGCAAGCCTGATTGTCTTTGGAACTTTGATAACGGGAAACTACTGAAATATGATGAGGGGGGTGTGTGTGTGTCTGTGTGTGTGTGTTTACCTATATAATAAATATATGTTATGTAGCATATTTACATAATTATATGTATAGTTTATAAAACTACGAAATATAGTTTATGCCAAAGGCTGAGTTTATCTTTTTTTTATTTTAATCTGTCTCTTGAGGAGCATTTAAAATGTGCTAGCAGGTTGTATAAAAGACATAAGAAGTGAAGCTATTTCATGAACTCCTAACACATAGCTCGGTGATGTCTTTTTTCTGCAAGCCAACCTTCAATAAATCACCACGTCAGAGAGTATGCGGGCACTTAAGATCTGATTTCCAGGCCTGGCAAGTGTAAAGGCAATGCTGGAGGGTAATTCCCTCCTCCTATTTCAATGATTCTGAAGCCCTGACAGTACATGGTGGATGCAAAGACCTTTCATGCTAATGAGCTTGCTGTTCTGATTTCTGTCATCACAGACTATTTTTATATGACAATAAATTAACCTAGATGAGTAGATATTTAATTATTTAGAAATTAAAAGAATAAAAACATCTTCCTGTTTTACGTAAAAAAAGGAGTTTTTTCTCAGTGCAAGTTGTGTATGGTACATTTTTCTGATTTCTACTAAAAAGATGAGCCATAAATACTGGCATGTAACTCCCGGTAAAATAAGAAAAACACTATTTTTAAGTTATGCTTTTCTCTGAAAGGACATTTCCAATTAACGTTCCTACCTGCAATAAAGATAGGCTCTAGAGTTGTAACTGTAGTAATGACATTGTAGTCAAGATTTGACTTGACCTATAAACTACAAAAAAGCAAAAGAATAGGAAAACAAATGGTACCTTCCTTTTTCTTGTCTTTTTTTTCCTGTCTCTTTCTTCCCTTTTCCATCATTCTCTCTCTGCCTTTCTTTTTCTTTCTTTCTTTCAAAGAAAGTTGCAGTTATGTCTATTTTTAATGGTGACCTACAACTATATTTTCTTAGAGATATATAAAATTTAATGGTAGTGAATTTTATTAAAAAACTTGCTGATAGCATTAACATTTAATTATATTTTATAGTTATTTTATTTAGGAAATAATTTTTGATCTTCACTCTTACCTTATGATATGGTTTGCCTGTGTCCCCACCCAAATCTCATCTTGAGTTTTAGCTCCCATAATCCCCATGTCATGGGAGGGACCCGGTGGGAAGTAATGGAATTATGGGGGCAGATTTTTCCCATGGTGTTCTCATGACAGTGAATAAGTCTCATGAGATGTGATGGTTGTATAAAGGGACGTTCCCCTGCACATGCTCTCTTGCCTACTGCCATGTAAGACATGCCTTTGTTCCTCCTTGGCCTTCTGCAATGATTGTGAGACCTCCCCAGCTATGTAGAATGGTGAGTCCATTAAACTTCTTTTTCTTTATAAATTACTTAGTCTTTGGTAGTTCTTATAACAGCATGAGAATGGACTAATACATCTTAATTCCAAAAAACTGGTTATAAATCTATTGAGCAACTGAAAAAACAAAAACCACACAATAGTACACAATATCATCATTTCTATAAATTTCTATAAAAGTATAACTCCAAAATAATTGGTAAACTGTTTTCAATATTACTAAATAAGATTAATAAATATAAATATAAAAACAAAATTTTAAAAATATTGACATCTAGTAAAATTAAGCAACTTTTATATGAAGACTAATTACAATCACTATATGACTGAAATTTGACTAATTTTATTATTACAAAACTTTCTAAAAGTACTTAATAAGTTTAGAACACTGTTTGTTACATGTAGACAATATATTTTATAATTTGTATGAATTGTGTTATATAAGAAAGCTATTCTTAAAACTCACATGTCACTTACATGTCAAAGAAGATGGAGTAAGTATATCTGTCTCTATTCCTTGCACTAAGTGCAACTAAAAGCCCTGGAAATCACATATAAGTCAAGCGTAAGTGGACTCTAAAAGGCAAATAGAGAAAGGAAGATCATTTAGGGACTTTGGGACCCAAGGAATGACATGATAGTGTGTTCTCTCAATTTTCTTTTAGCTTCATAAATTCTGAACTTGAAGCTGAACAAACTGACCACCCCAAACTGCCCATAGGTCTGCACAACAAAAGCCCCAACAAAAGCCCCAACAAAAGCCTGCTATCTCTAGACAAAGGACCAGGAAAAAGAACAACTTAGCAAGACAGAAAACCTTCAGAAAATTACTGCTCTTTGCCTGCCTGAAAACACAGGAAAACAACAACAAAACTGGTTTCTCACCCACCCACATCAGCAAAAGTCTAGTGGGAAACCCAGATTTCCTAGGCTGTAATGAGTAACCTCAACATCCCACCACAGTGGTGTTAGACAAAGTGCATAGGGATCTGAGGTTTTTATACCTGCCAGGGGTCAACAGGTACTCACACCCTCTGATATCTGTAAACTAAAAACAGAATTCTAAGCCTGTCAGTTGACTGAATGGACCCCTCCTCTCAGTCAAGGCCATTCCAAAGTAAACCTGAAAAACTAGTGCATCCATGATGGGAAGAGGGGTGTCAGACATGTCTCATTATACCCGACTCCCTTTGGAATTAAGGCACAACTGACCAGCATTACATTAAAACAGAGATCTTAAGAGTGACAAAAAGACTCTTTACCACAATAAAATACCTAACTCTAACCGACTCTAATATAGCATCACATGGCAGATAGCCAGCCCTAAAAGAAATCAAAGTATTCACCCCAAAATATATTTCATTGATATATTTGAAATGGCCCTGCAAAGCTGCCACTTCTGGAGAAAATCTATATTCTGCAGAGAATCCTCCTCTCTTTCCAGGTCTTTTTGTGACACAGGAGAGATTTAACTGGCTTGCACCTTTTAGAGTCTGATAAGAGACATTTATTGTCTATTCTCTCTGAAGCCAGCTACCTGAAGGCTTCATCTACACAATAAGAACCTGGGTCTCCAGAGCCCTTTACCTTAACCCAGAAACTCCTTTCTATCGATTCCAGATATTTAGATAGTAACTTCACTCTATCAACCAATTGCCAATCAGAAATTTTTGAATCCACCTCTAACCTGGAAGTCCCTCAACTCTGAATTTTCCTGCCTCTTCAGGCCAAACCAATGTGCACCTAACATATATCAATTGATGACCACCTGTAATTTCTGTCCCCCTAAAATGTATAAAATCAAGTTGTAACCCAACCACGTTGGGCACATGTTCTCAGGGCCTACTGAGGTTGTGCTTTGGGCCGTGATCACTCACATTTGGTTCAGAATAAACTTTTTAAAGTATTTTACTAGAATAAAGAACTGGAATCAGGACTTTTGTGATCTTCTAGTGACAGACAGGTCACCCCCAGTGCAATGTTACAGAAAACCACATGGGAGGCTAGAATGCTCTGAGTTCCCCCAAAAGCAATCCTTCCCTCAGTTATCAAAGGAGGATAAGTGGAGAACCTGGACTTTTACCTCTACCTGTCAGAGAAGTGGGTACCTCTGCCTGTCCTTCCCCTGCCAGAGTGTTGTCAAGAGAGCCACTTAAGACAGAAAATTTAAATAAGATCATATTTTAAATATGTAAATATCCAGGTTTTAATCAATCATTTCTGTCATTCCCAGAACCTGCAAGATCTCAAACTGAATATACAAAAAGACAGTCTATGGATGTCAATACTGAGATAACAGAGAAGCTAAAGTTATCTGAAGCAAAATGTAAAACAATCATGATAAAACTGATGAAGTGAGTAATTATGAACAGATTTGAAACAATTGCAAAACTAGCCCCAGTAAAAAGAAAACATGAAGGTGAAACAAGTGGAAATTTTGAAACTGAAACATACAATAATCAAAATTTTAAAAAATCTAGGAATGGACTCAACAGCAGAATAGAGGAAACAGGGCAAAAAAATCAGTCAACTTGAAAATGGAATAATAGAAATTATCCAACTTGAATGACATAGAAAAATAGACTAAATATATGAATGAACAGACCATCAGGGTACTGTGGGAATCCAGCAAAAGACCTCACATTCAGGCCATAAAATTCCATGCCTTGGTATTTCATTCCTTTTTGGATATCTTTTTATGCTCTAACACCAAGAGCATATTGAATTAGATTAGCCAAAGTCTTGAAACTCCTGTGAAATATTTTTAAATACCCTGTTTCTAAACCTAAAATTTTGGCATAGTAAAAAAATGTTACTTTAGGTTTTCACTTTGCCAAAACACACATTTTTGTATTCTGATCCAAGAACTTCCCCTGAGCCCAACAGTCTATCTTGGTAAAAATAATGTAGTTCAATTCGGTACAACAGATGTTTATTAAGTACCCACAAAGGGCCAGGTTCTGATCCACTCTATTATCATGTGTTGTTCTTCTTTCCTAGGATGGCCTTTTCTGGTCCGCCTGGTAAACTCCTATTCTTCCTTCAGATTCAGCCCAAATCAGTCTTCAGTAATGTGAGTTCCTTCAGCTTGACATATTGTTTACTTGTCAATAAATTTGTATGGTACTCAACACATCATGCACTGATTTTTGCCCTTGTGACTGAACTGTGTATTCCTAGAGGTTAGGACACTGTCTTTTCATCCTTGTTACTCCAGTTGCATTGAAATCTCCTTTATCACGAAATGTGTTCGGTAATTTCCTGTTGCATAAATAAATGAATTCATGTATTCAGCTATGCTTCTGATATTTTTAAATACCGACTGCCTGCTAGGCAGAGTAATGGACCCAGGTATACATGGTGAATGAATGATGTTACTCCTTGTATTGAAGATTGCAAACTGTAGCAGAGATGACATATCATTGGAATACAGAATTAACTGTAATAGAAAAGTTGTTGAAAGGTTTTAAGAATAAGAATTATCTTGTTCTTATTCTAATTTACATCCAAACTTAAGGTATCCTTTAGAAACATGTTAGGTTTTAAGTAATAAAGAACAGTGCCTTTAACACATAAGAATTCAATTTTCTCTTATCCTAAGAATTACAAAGAGAGGACGTTCAGAGCTATTGCCTGTGTTCAACAAAGTTTAAAAATATCACTGTCCTTCAGTCCTCTTCTGTTGTTTCCAACATGTGACTTTCATCTTCATGCTCACATGATCGCTGCCACATATTTCACCTTATATTTGTTACACAGACAAGAAGATAAAATCAAAATAAGGGAGCATAAAAGGCAAAAAAAAACTGAAGAGAAATTTCCTTACAATATTTTCTAACACAGCTACTCATTGTATTTCAATGGCTAGAACAGGGTCACAAGTCAACCCTGAGATACAAATTAGTCTGAAAAGATATTTAGGCTTAATCTGTAATAACAGAGGAAGAAAATGGGGGAAAAAAGGGTAATAAATGACTTTTGGGTAAATATTCCACTTTTAAAAAATTTCATTGGCTATCATAGTTGAAAATTGTAGTGACTAATGGGCAAAAAATGGTCAATATATTAAAATCAACATAGACAGTTATTTTATTAACTATGGAAAGAAAAAAAATTGTCCGTGTCTCTGATAGTTATTTAGAAGAGTACTTGAAAGGTATTTTTCAAAAAATATATTTTTAAGATATGGCCTTAAAACCACCAGAAACTTTTATTTCTATTATTTTAAACAAATAAGAAAAAAAGTTTCTAAATTATTTATGCTATAATATGAAAGTTCATAAAGATGAAGATTTTTGTAATGAAATTATATAATTTTATAATAGTTCTGAACTTTTTTTTCAAGTGCTCTTTCTGTCTATAATACAGTACACTGAAAGTGAACAGTCTTTGGTAGCACTATCTTTAAACCCTCAACGTTGCAAAACTCTCCATATTCCCACAGAATTCTCACTTACTGGACTTGGCGCTTGACTGAGAGAGTGAGGCAGAGTAAGTCTATATATACATGTTGGGAAGGATACTTCTTTCATTTTGGGTAAAGTAGAATTGAATAGCTTTTTTGTTTGTTTATTTCATCCAAAGCAGATGACTTTGGACCGTACTGGTGAAAAATAAGGTAAGATTCTTGAATTTCAAATTTTCATAGATGTGTTTTAAAGAGCACTACAGTAGGTATTATTTATAATAATCAACACCTTTATAGGATGTGATATCCTAGAAGGTAAATTTCTTTGAAACTTCATTGAAAGGTAACGTCATAACCATTGGATTTCAAATTCAAAATTTGGAACTGGGGCCAAATCCTTTCTGATATTACTTCCCTTTCTCACTATTTCTCAGTTTTCTATACCAATATACTGCAACTCAAAGAAACTACTTAAAATTTCTCACTTATAAAGAGTACTTGGAACAGGTCCATGTTATAGTAGCTTTATGTTACAACTTGTTTCAACAGGTTATACTTTTAATGCAAATTTAATACAGGATGCATTCAGCTACATGCTTTCTTCTTCAAAAGAATGTTTCACTTTAGGATTTTGGAATCATACTCAGATGACATCTTCTTTTAAATAGTTGCTTTCCATTTTTGTGGAATTTTTTTAACCTAGGATATTAAACTAATTTTGTACACACTAGTCGAATCTCACCATTTTTTAAAAATATTAAGGTCTAATCTACTTAATTACACATGTTTTTTCATACCTCTGTTTGATTTTATCCTCAAGTAGAATTTCCTATTCAAAAATGGATCTAACTTGATAACATACCTTTCTCATAATGAATAACTAATATACATTGTTAGCACATTCATTGTGATTATTTCTTTAATTACTAAAGGTATATTTCCTGCTTTTTAGTTATTAATTGATTAGTATGATGACGAAACAGTTGGAGAAGGGTATTTTTTTTTCCCTAGAAGAAGAGCATGTGTCTTGAGAATATGACTATTTCTGAAGACCACAGATTTATTTGTTTTCTTGAAATAATGCTTACAATACTAGGAATGTGGCAATTATCAATAGCTATTGAACTAAAATTCCATGTCCTTTCATGTAATAATACCAACATATTAAATAAATAAATAAATAAATAAAAATGACTTATCAAGGTTTATATGCCTTTCCTTTAAAATATTATATTTCTGTTTTTAATAAAAATTTTGAAAATACATTTAGATATTCTTAAACATAGATTTGATATTATCCTTTTGGTGGAAGAATGTGATCTTGCAGAGACTTTGTAAATGACCCTCCAGGGGCTTGTACATTACTCACAAATTTTAGGTTGCACTTTGTCTGTGTGGTCAGTAAGACTGAAACTTGTGCAATTAGAGCAAATATTTAATCATATTAGGATTTATTTTAGCAATAAGTCATCCTTGCCAGTTATTTATACATGTTGAAGGTTAGTGCAACAAATCACCTTTGCTTCTACTCTGTGTCAAACACTTTGCCTCAGAAATAAGAAAGTATAGATCATTATAAATCTGACTCTGTGATAGTGCTTGGCACATTAATTAATGTAATTCCGGTTCCTGCATCACATCTTTAACCACCTCTGTGCAGTCACAGAAGCATATATCAGAAAAAAGGTGCTATTGTTGTCATTTTTTATTCACATTTCTTTTCTCTCTCATTTTTTTAACTTGTGTTTCAGTACTTTTTACCTTGAACACAGCACAACGTAGAAGATAACTGGTTTGATGTAGTACCAGGGAGACTTTACCCCAATGAAAATGTGTGCTCTGTCAAGGGATTAACTGCGAGGTCCACCCAGGTTATTTTTTTTTCATTAATTAATTAAAAACCAAATTTATTTAAAACTATATACCCTAATATGTAGGGTATTTTTACCTTGCTTAGTGATAAGGAATTACAAAGATAAAAAGAAGAATATGAACAACCCAGCTCTCAAAAACCTTATATTGTGTCTTAATGGCGTCTCACCAACATTTCTATAGCTTTGACTGTCTACTGGAGTATGTTAAGCTTGTTTTCTCATTTCACAAGTAATCCCCTTTTGATGAACAAATACTCAAAAATAGTTTCCTGTCAACTTTCTTTTTTTTAGCTAATCTTACTATATATTCAATACTAACAGACACTGCTTATGTGCTTTACATAATTATTATTTAATTCTCTGAAAAACTCTATCAAGAAAGTGCTTGTTGTCTACATTTTATAAAGAATAAAATTGTGACTTCAATGGATGAAGCAACTTGTCTGAGGTCCTGCACCTGGTATCTCACTCTACAATCACATGGACAAAGTTTTCAGACCCCAATGCCAAATTTGTAGGATGGAGGCAAAATATTTAATAACAATTTCTTTTCTCTTTAAGTAAATTTCTTTGACCAAATCGATTTCCAAATTGCTAGTACTAAACAGGGAATAGGGTTACTTTTCAACTGTCTACAACATTTACCTGTCACTAATTTTTCAACTACATAATGTAATAGAGTTCTTGAAAACAATCTTAGGAGGCAGGTCCCACTCTTCACCATTTTCAAATGAAGACAATATGGCTGAGAAGCTCTAGACATTTTGCATAGTGTCATATAGCTGATAAGTTTTCAAGCTGAAACTGAACCCTTATTTTTTTTTAACTATTTGTTTTTCTGCTACTTCCACTGCCTACGTGTTCTTTTTGACAAATCTTGGCAAAAGAAGGCCAGTGTGCCCTACCACTCATCACACAAATTGGCTTATTCCAACAATGTATATAAACATATAAACACATTGGCACAGAAATAGGAAATGAAATGGGAATAGTTTAGGTACCTATATTTATCCAACAATAGAGAGAAGGAGAGGAATAGCAGGCGGGAGTGACAGAAGAGTAGATGAGCCAACTCCTTCTCGGGACAGCTGACTCCACAGACCAGGGCAAAACAGGGATTTGAATTCACCTAACTCTCTAGTGTTAGCCTCAGTAAAGGAATTCAGAAGCTTATTACTGGGGGTTACAAACTAGCAAAGAGATACTTTCAGCCCCTGCCAAAAGAATTATTTATTCTTTACTAAATGACATAGGCTATATAATGGCAAAGAGAATAGAAACCGGGAACTTCCTAGTTCAAAATTCAGTAACACAGGGTTTCTGAGTGAAATAAAAATGGTTTTGTTCTTTAATTAGGGCAGTTATTTAGCATGGAAAAAAGACAAAATACAATCTGCTCTCCTCCCACCTGCTTCCCACAAGCTTCATTTCCGATTATATCTTGCTCATGAATATGGTCTTTGCATGCAGTATAATTTTAGATGTGTTCCCTCACCTGGATATGCATTCCTTGCACTAGGTATTCTTTTTTTTTTTTTTTTTTTTGAGTTGGAGTCTCGCTCTGTTGCCCAGGCTGGAGTGCAGTGGCAGCAATCTCGGCTCACTGCAAGATCTGCCTCCTGGGTTCACGCCATTCTCCTGCCTCAGCCTTCCGAATAGCTGGGACTACAGGCGCCCGCCACCAGGCCGGCTAATTTTTTGTATTTTTAGTAGAGACGGGGTTTCACCGTGTTAGCCAGGACGGTCTCGATCTCCTGACCTTGTGATCCGCCCGTCTCGGCCTCCCAAAGTGCTGGGATTACAGGCATGAGCCACCGCGCCCAGCCTAGATATTGTTTAACTAGCATTTTCTGTTTCTTCAGTAACATCTAGCTCTCTGAAGTCTTTTGGTTGCTTGTCTGGCTTCACAAATAGCTAAAATTCTTGAGGGGAAGATTGTGTCTCATTAAGTTTATTGACATCAAACACAAATCCTGGTAATTGTGTAATGTAATAATGTTAAAGAACTGGATGAATTTATACCACTGGTTTTCAGAATAACAAGTTATGGTGTTTCCTTCTAGACAGCTAAAGAGAGCATATTCTGTTTCCTGTAGGACTTTGGATAAAGGGAAATTCCAACATCTTCTTGTTTCTTTCTGTTAACAAATAGGTCTGACTATCTTAAAGTGCGCTCATAACCATGTCTGCAAGAGATTGTAATTATATCAACTTGTGATGCAGCACCATAAAATTCTACATATTTAATTTGGAAATAAAATGTATTGGAATTTCTAATTTATTATACCGGTAAACGCTCTTCCTTAGATTTTATGCAACATAATAATTGTCTCAGAACTTAAAGAAATTAAAGGTAATCCAGTAATCAGTAAGAAAGGGTCATCTAGAAAATGAATACGATACATATCTAATTCTGTAGGTCTATTTGTGAAAAACCATGGTACATGCTCAAATTTTCTGTATTTGTTTCTGTAGACAAAAATACCCTAAAAAACAGCGATTTTCAAAATTTAATGTGCATACAAATCACCTGTGGATCTGGTTAAAATATAAATTTAGATTCAGTTAGTTTAGGGTGGTGCCTGAGTATCTATCTGCCTTTCCAGCAATCTCACCAGGTTCATCAAATATACATTAGAGTGTGAGACACACTGACTTGAAAAGATATTTGCATGTATGTCTAGCAACTTAAAAAAAAAAAGTGAAATATTGAGTAAAATCGCTCCTTCACACTTACCCAGTACCTATTTTGATCAAGAGATGTAACAAATTGGGGGATAAGGAGACTCTTTGGAATTAACTTGAACTACAATAATATGCAGATATATATATATATATATATATATAAATAAATAGGTATGCTTTTGAAGCCAAATGACAAGTGTAGATTCAGTGTCCTGGAAAATGATAAAGATTCTCTCCTTGACCAAACTTTAGTCGGGCTCTTCAGAGCCCAGCTAGGTCCCATCTTAGGGCATATCCCCCTAGAGCCCAACTGTAGAAAACTCCTGTTAAGTCAGTTTATCCAGAATCCCCCTCCCTCGAAATCAGATCAATATCCTCATCCTCTCAACCTGACCTACCTTCAACAAAAATCTTATTAGGCGGGTTGAATCAGAATCTCCCCAGACCCCTGATGTTTCCTCTTAGTAATTTTTCCCCATGGCCCAGCCTTTAACTATAAAATTCAATTTTATCTTATTGTATTTAGAGTTGAGCTGAATCTGTGCCCCCTACTGCAAAACCCCTCACAGCAGTCCCAGATAAAGAGTGCCTTACGTTTTGAAGAAGTGTCATGAATAATGTTTTTCTTTAACAGAAAAAAATCCCCCTGAAGCAAGAAAGTGTGGAGCTATTTAATTGGATAGATAGGGTAATTTAAGTCTGTGCAGAGAAGGGGCAACTTGTTCCAGGTGGAACAACTAGTTTCAACTTGATATAACTAGAAAATGCCTTTAAATTGTCCTAGTGAAGTGTGTACACTGGGAGAATAGAGAGCCAAATGTCCAAAAATAAATAATTACAAAATAAGATTGCTAAATATTTTTGCTATCACCTTCAGTCAAGTGAATAGCAATTGAGAAAGCTTCAGTCAACTACCCTGGCTAAACAGGAGAACAGAGTCATAAGCCTGAAATGGTTAAGAAACCTACCCAAAAGAGACCTGATCCCCTATTAGTGAGGCAGATGTGACATTTGAATAACATTAAAAATTGTGCATGTCTCTGTAATTTTAGTCCAACCATATTAGCAAGTAAACATTGTAACATATAATGTAAAACATAAAGTTACATTATTATAATACTGAGAGTTTGTTTTATATTCTGAATGTTAAAATATCTTAGGTATTTTGTGCAGCTTGCTTTTTAATATCTTAACTCTAATGTCAACTCTTTGTGGATGACAGCTATAACAATCAGATTTAAGCATGCTAAATGTTGTCATTTAAAATTTTAATGGTATAAATAATTATTATAAAATATGTTGATTTCTCATTGTCAGTGAAAATTACAATGCAATACACAGCAAGTTTTTAACTGAGTGAAAATAGTTTTAATAGTGTCAGTTTATGGCATTGCATAAGTAATTGTCTAAGCAACCAATTATATGTTTATTGGGGACACATATGGCAAAACAACTGAAAGGTTAGTGTAAAATGTTTATTTTTTTTTGAACATTTGTGTTACACTTAAATGCTGGTATTTCCAAGTTTATATTTATTAATATAGTGAGCTCCAATTGGGAATATTTTGACATTCAAGTACAACTAGAAAGTATTATATTGACTACAAAATCCAAAATGTGACACAGTTGTAAATTTTTTATGAACACATGCATCATTATACTCTACAATAATTCTTTTCTTGCAAAGTACAAGGGCACATTGAAATCCTAGGAATCACATGAAACATGCAAATGGACACAGGGTAAGACCAAAAATTACAAAATATCCCTGTTAAGTCCAATGGACCTTGAAAGAGGAGAAGGGAAGCATCTGATAGCCAATTAATGGCACTTTAGACTTCAAGAAATATCCTAAAAGTCAGAGGTATGAGGAGTAACAGGGTTCTCAGAGCCACAGTGGTATCTCAAGATACCATTTGGTCATTTGGACAAAGTGTCTACTGCTAATTACTGCTATCGTTTTATTGCTTTCATGTTCAGGTATTCTTAAACTTGTTGGCCCATTTGGTAATGCAAAGCCCTCTAAGCGTTGACTTTGTCCTCCATCCAATCCTTAGCTGCTGTGCAGTATAAAGGCAACCTTCACCTTTTTGACAAATGTATTTATAGATTATGTTTGAAATTTAAAATAACTCAGTATATGGAGCAGTGTGCGTGTGTGTATGAATTAATTTTATCCTATACCTGAGGGATTTTATGGTACATTTGTAGGACCCTAATTAAGACTACACAATTTGGAGGTAGATAATTAGCATTTGAAGGTCCTTGATTGGGGATTCAGACTTCAGAAATCTTATACAAACTCTTTATACATCATTAAGTAAATATTCAACACAAGGCTCATACTTAACATTATAAATATTAAAATGTTTTATTTGGGAAGAATAAGGGATATTCAGGATATATGGTTGTCTAAAAAGAGTGTATAGTACATTCACACATCATACAACAATTTTTCTCTCCCTCTTCTTTTTTCTTAATCAAATATTCTGATACCTGAGCCAAGTAGAAACATGGCTGGTCCTTCTATCAAGTTATAATTTTATCTGCTTTAGAGTAAACTGAGAATTTCAAAGTTCTTGTAAAAGTGCTTCAAAGAAACAATTAACACTATAAATTACATTATGTGATTTTTTTATATATACTTGGTGATAAATATTTGTATGTTTATCAGAATCCATTCTGAAGTCTACTTTCACTGTAACATGTTCCACGATAACAGGTTAGAAAGAAATTTTAAACAGCCACCATCTGTCTCTATTTACTAAAAGAACCTGACAATTGTTCACTGCAAACATTTGCTTAGATTAATACACAGCAACTCCTCTGATTGTCAATACCATATTAAATATATACATAATAAATACATCAATACATATTAACACTTAAAGCAATAACAGAACACTAAAATGTATATTTAAACAGAACACTAAAAATGTATATTTTAAGAGAAGCAATATAAGTTAGTGGTATTTACAGAAATACTGAGCCTTAAAATTAGAAGCTTCAAATACAATAAGCAAACAAATCTAAATTTCATTTTATAAAAACAACACATTGTTCAGATGATTATAATTGTAAGTAGTAAATTAATATGTATATACTTAATTACCATTCAATATTGATTATAAACCACTTGATAGTCACAATCTTTTAAATGAATTTGTACTTCAATAATTATATAGAATAATTCATGTATCTTTCTTTTTAACTTAGTATCATAAACTCAGAACACATGCACTGTCATTGTAACATGTTCCACGATGGCAGGTTAGAAAGAAATTTTATACAGCTACCATCTGTCTCTATTTACTAAAAGAGCCTGACAACTAGAGAAATGGGTGCCTTTGGCCATGTTCTGCTACAGACACTCCTGCACCAAACCCTCTGGCCTCCACGTCTCCTGGCATGCTGATCACACGGAAGATGTTTTCATCCTGTTGATGATGTTTCACCCTATTGTTGCCTACTCAATATCTAGTCTCTTCTATTTCCTCATCAGCAAAGTTTCCATTTTGTTTAGGGTAACAATGTGTCCAGTTGATAAACTGCGTTTCCCAGCCTGCTTTGCAGTTCAGGCTAGTCATGAGATAGAGTTACTGTTGATGAATATCTGCTAGGGATTTCTGGGAAATTTTGTTTTCTTGATATAAGTATCACCTTTCTCTTTGTTGCTTATTTATCCCTGTAACTATTCTGGCATGGATTGCAAATATGAAGCCACTGATGGAGCATGACCATGCAACCATAATGTTATTGAAAAAAAAAAAAGGCTCATACTCAAGATGGTCAGGCAGAAACATAGAAGGAGATTGGGATGTTGCTGATACTATAGAGCCTTAGCTGAAGCTCCAGACTGCTTGCCTTTGAATATTTGAATATTTCTTTATGTGAGGGGTCACTGGTAATAATTCTATTACTTGTAGCCAAGGAAAATCCCAAAATGCTCTAAAAATCGTGATAACTGCTTTTCATCCTATGTGTCAAAAACAAGAACAATATTAAATCACAATTCACTAGAGGACATTTCCAATAAAATATAATTTTACATACATTTACTTTAATTTTTCTAAGGAAAATACAAGCATCCATTAACTCACAGACCAATTTCCAAAGGAAGCAATTTAAAAAAATTTACCCACGATAATCTGTTTAAGGAAATTCACATTTTGGGGGCGAAAAAGAAATCAGTCATAGAGAATTAGTCTCAGTCTATATTTTGAACATCTGTATTTATTTCGTATGGGTAATCTAACTTTGAATAATACTGAGGATAATAATTGTTGATGACGATGATAAATGAAATCATAACTTTACTTTTGAATATTTATGTAACATACCATGTACTTTTACATACCAATTATATTTATACTTATAATAACTTGAGTGAAATATTTATTTTCACAATTTTACAATAAAAAATAATTGAGGCTAAGAGAAGTCAATGACTTGGTAATTATGGCTGCTATGTTGAGAGGTCAAATTTCACACATTCCCTTGTTATTCTGAATTGATTTCAATTCTGAAGTTAGACTGTTCTTTTACTTACCTTTGTTATGGTTCTAGGAACAGTTTGGAAGAGTAGTTCATGTGAGTCAGTAATAATGGAGTTAAAACAAGAGTGAAAAACATGAAAATTATAAATAAAGCTAAGACTCTGAGGGAATTGGTGAGTTGAACTGGCAAGAAGCAGCCCACTCTGACCTTAGGCCTCTGGAATCCTGACAGAATGAGACCTTTTGTCACTGCTGCTTAAGAAGTGGTAAGATAAGTGGTATTTATTTATTTATTTATTTTTAAGATAGAAATTTTCTTTTTATTAATGACCCCAATCGTATTTCTTTAGATACAGGAGTTTTGAACTCATATACATAAGAGAAAACAAATTAAGATTGTGTTATCCTGCAACTTATTACCAGTAACATATTGCAAAGTGAAACAGCTTGGAAAAGAGGGTGGGAGAAAAGGGAAGTGACGGAAGGAAGATAAAGAAAAGGAATTAAGTTGATCAAGTGGAATTCTTTTTCTTTTTTTAATTCTTGGGAACTATGAGGTCCTTGCAAGCACAGCTCATTTCTGCAGATTATTTTCCAAACATGTATGAAATGGAACCAAAACAGACTCCCTTAAGAACCTGAAAGGTGCAACATTAAAAGCTATGATTATCCAGTAGCAAGTGTTCCAGCCTTTAGTTGCCAGCTGCTTCCACCTCCTATTCCCAAGTTGGCAGGATGAAAGCATCTTCCGTGTGATCAGCATGCCAGGAGATGTGGAGGCCAGAGAGTTTGGTGCAGGAGTGTCTGTAGCAGAACATGGCCAAGAACACCCATTTCCCTAGGCTTGATTTATTCCCACAGCAGACTTTAGCCCTAGCAGAACTGTCTTACATGAATTCTGCAGGGCAATCTTGCCCATTGGACTGGGCAGTCTGACCTAAGCAGCACTTGGTCTATTGTCCTCTTCTGGGACCCCAGCTTGTCTGAACCTGTTGGCAGGGCAGCCTCAGGTGCCCTGGGACTCCGCATCATAGCTCCTAAGCAAGTGGACCATGCCTGAATGGTGGAGAAATATGGGGGTTAACCCCATGGCCACGCACCAGCCCATCTACTTGCTGCCCATATTGCAGCTTCCCACAGGCCCACAGCAACCAACCACATAGCTTTACTAGCATGTGTGTGCATGGGCAGGTTTTGCCATCCTTGCCCTACCAGTGCATGTGTGTATATGCACCTTGCTCTGCCACTGCTGAGGCAAAGTTCACTTGGAACCTATACCCCCACTAATCTGCAATGTAGTAATAGCCTTGGAAGACACACAGCCAGCCAGCCTGGCCCCACCAGTGCCCCACCCTCGCACCAACACTGCTGGAAGAGTGAAACTAGGCAGTGAGAATAGTGGATCCTCCCACACCCTGAGCAACTACCCCTACCTGTGGCACATAGAGAGCATACACAGACCCGTTCCCACCAGTTTCCTGACCTCATGATAATACCACCAGCAGCAGGACCACACACAGTCACTAGCAGAGGTTCCTTGCCCCACACGCCCATGATGCCTCTGCCACTGTGGTGAATGCCCACATAGAGGCAGGCATCCTGGTGCCCACTAATACCCTGCCACAACCAATGAGCCTGCACTCCACTGCACTGCCACTGCTGCTAGCAAGTGAGAATGAGGACAGATCCCATTGCCACCACATTGTGAAATGCTTTGGCTGACACCACCCGCAGAGTATAGTGACCAGTTGTCCAGGAGCAGCTTGGCCCCACCAGTCCAGAGGATTCTTAACCTTTGTGTGCATGTGTCTTTATAGCAGCATGATTTATAGTCCTTTGGGTATATACCCAGTAATGGGATGGCTGGGTCAAATGGTATTTCTAGTTCTAGGTCCCTGAGGAATCGCCACACTGACTTACACAATGGTTGAACTAGTTTACAGTCCCGCCAACAGTGTGAAAGTGTTCCTATTTCTCCACATCCTCTCCAGCACCTGTTGTTTCCTGACTTTTTAATGATTGCCATTCTAACTGGTGTGAGATGGTATCTCATTGTGGTTTTGATTTGCATTTCTCTGATGGCCAGTGATGATGAGCATTTTTTCATGTGTCTTTTGGCTGCATAAATGTCTTCTTTTGAGAAGTGTCTGTTCATATCCTTTGCCCACTTTTTGATGTGGTTGTTTGTTTTTTTCTTGTAAATTTGTTTGAGTTCATTGTAGATTCTGGATATTAGCCCTTTGTCAGATAAGTAGGTTGCAAAAATTTTCTCCCATTTTGTAGGTTGCCTGTTCAGTCTGATGGTAGTTTCTTTTGCTGTGCAGAAGCTCTTTAGTTTAATTAAATCCCATTTGTCAATTTTGGCTTTGTTGCCATTGCAAAATACTGGCAAACCGAATACAGCAGCACATCAAAAAGCTTATCCACCATGATCAAGTGGGCTTCATCCCTGGGATGCAAGGCTGGTTCAATATATGCAAATCAATAAATGTAATCCAGCATATAAACAGAACCAAAGACAAAAACCACATGAGAAATATTTTCCAGCACCATTTTCAGAAGCTTTTCCCCGGAAAATGTTGTTCCAGCTATGCAAAAATGGCTTGCAATTATAAAAATGTGATATGCTCTAGCACATGTATCTTGTAACATATGCTGTTCTTTTCCTGTACTGACCTTCTTCTGCTCCACCAATCGGGTTAATTTCTATTCTTTCTTCAGGGGTCAGCTCAAAAATTACTTTTCCTGGTAAATCTTATTCTAAAATAGTGTTGAGCCCTTCTTCACAGTTCTATAGAGTTTGATATCTACTTGCATTAAATCAATTAGTCATACCATATTGTAGTTTTCTAGCAATTTTCACAATTTTAACAATATTAATAAAAGCTAATATTTGAATGCTTTCCATACAAACATTCATTTTTCTTAGTAACCCTGTGAGATGGGGCTTGTTGACATTCCTGTATTACAAATGAGGAAACTGAGGCCCAGAAATGGTGAAGCAACTTGCACAAAGTTTCATGTCTACTGAGTGACAAAGGCAGGACACTGTTTGTATGAATTTTATTCCATTTTCATATTCCTCTGTAAAAACCTCAGCAACCAGCATATTGAATTACTTACAGCAGGGAGCTAACGTGTGTTTACCAAATGTTGAATGAGATAGGAGAAATATAGTAATAGACATGGGAGCATGCAAATAATCCAGTTAAGTACTTACTGGAGTTGCTCTATCATGTCTGCTTAATTACTGTTCACATGAGAGGCATCAACATTTAAAAGTTAACAGCTTATGTGCAAACTCACATATGGCAAATTCTCCATTTTTTTTCTTTTTTCTCTCAGGTGGGAATGAATTTAGTTGACAGCCAGTTACTTAATTTATTGTGTAGCAGAAACACTAAGGAAGAATTGAGCAGAAATGTAGAGAGGATCAATGAAATAATAAAACAACATTCCATTCTTTCTATCCCAAAAGTCTCTAATGATTCCTTTGAACTCTCCAGTGGCATTATTTTGTAATCCTGGAACCCTTTATCATTTTAATGCTTTGGGAAGACACTTTAAATACATGATCATAAATCACAGTGAGAAGGGTAGAGCAAGAACACTTTGTAGGTTCACTGGTCCTAGTGTCATTTTTTAATGAGAAGATGCTTCTGTGTGTTTAAATAATAAGAGAAAGAAGATTCTGAAGGCAACATGAGCAACTTTCATTTCAGTTGTTATTTTACATAAAAAATATATGCATTGTATAAAATATTTAAATTGATAAATTTAAATGTTAGATACTTAAAAATTTGTATTAGCAGTTTATAATTCTTTTATATGTAAAGTTATTTTCCTTCAAAATCCTCATCAAGCTTGTCTTACATATGTTCATTGATGACTTTACTCATTTTCTCCATTTGCTGAAAATGTTATTTTCTTACCATCTCATACCCTACCTTTCCAGGGTTTCCTGAAATAATAGTCTTAATTGAGCTCCTTTGATTTTTCTAAGGCTTACAAATCTGTTCTACATTATATAACACTTCATTCCTTATATTTACCTTGTTTTGTAAATTGTTTACTCACTTAGTAGGCCTTTGCTGTGCAACTATTACAAACCAAGCATTATACTGGCATGAAAATATAAGGTGGTGAAAAAGACAAAACTGGGTGGTGGAGCTAAGGAATGTGGGAAATAGTGAGCTGGAAAGCTGTTCAGAATCATAGACTGGGCGCTAATCAAGAAACATTCCCAAACACCAGTGAATGGTCCCTTTGCAATTTCTACCCAGTAGGCTTTCGGGATACTAAGGAAGAGTAACTGCTATGTGCCTTTCTAAATGAAATCATTAACTATGATTATATTATCCCCATTCTACTACTTTTATGCTAAATGTATGGATTCAGAAATCACAGAAGGAAGTGAGAAGCAGATAATTTGACAATTTCATATATAGATCTCCGGGTTTAATGTAATCCTATTCAAGTCTAATGTGGGGGCCATCAAAAAAATCCTCAACTTGGACCTGATGTCATAAGTGAATGGGGCAATGCATTGTCTACCTAGAAAAAGAATGAATGTATTTTTTTGTGCTTAAATGAAAAAAAAAATAATATTTTGTACATGAGGATGGATTCTGTTAAATTCTTTTGGTATTGTCAAAAGCTTTGCTTTTCCTCTGTACCAGATATATCCTTGTGGAAGAATTATACTTTCTATTGAATTCGGATTGGTCATATGAATTGCTTTTTTGAATGAAATGTGAGTTTGTAGCGCATGTGTCACTTTTGAGCAAGAGCTTAAGAGTCTTGACGAGAGCCTGCTTTCTCTATTTTCCCATGTGTCATGGGTCTTGGTAATCAGAGACAAAGGCTGCTATTTAGCTGGTGTACTGTCATAAAAAAGACTTGAAACAAAGCAAAAGTTGACTAGCAGTAAACATTAAAATGTGTAAGAAATAAACCTTTGTTCTTGCAAGCTAACAATATTTTGCATAGTTTTTTTCTACAAGTAAACCTAGTCTGAGCTGATATTGAAATAAAAACAAAATGCACATTGTATATACCATCATAAAACTCTAAACAAGGAAATTTTTAAAAATATATTTTTAATTTTTGTGGGTATTCAGTAGGTGTATATATTTATGAGGTACATGAGATATTTTGAAAGTTATACAATGCATAATAATCACATTAGATTATTACTATCAGGGCCACTAAAGAATCAGCTTGAAGGACTGATAGGTGAAAACATGAAGTCTGAAGAGATCATCAAAAAAAGCAAACATATCCATCTTCCCAAGAAAAATCTTGGGAGCTACAGAGGTGAAGCTACAGAGGTGTTAAATACATACAAGCCCCCAGGAGTTTAATCCTAGGGTCTTAACTCCCAATCCTGAGGACTTCTCTGTATTTAACACCTTCAATTGCTTGGGGGCCAAGTGTTGTCATTTGGGGTGACATTACGAGGTGACATTTGAGGTGATATTACATTTGGTATTAGAGTTGGTAATGGTAGTGTGAATAATTAGAACGAGGTAGAAATTGTAATCAATTTTAAAAACATGGAAAATTGGGTAATATTTGAAGGCGAGGAAGTGGGATTACTCGGTGAGGATTCTATAGGTGTGGCCACATTATATAGCTATGAGAGTTGACTGGTGGTGGTTGCTGGTTAATCTTTGTTTGTTAGTATTTTTATCACAATAGAGATTACCCAGGGAAGTAGGGTTAAATGATTAAGAATAAGGTTAGGAGAAATGGAATAAGGAAAGAGAAAAAGTGGAGCATAATTAGGCCTTTCTGGGCAGGTACAGTGGTTGAGGCTATGATCTGAAGTTGGGCAGTGTTTTTGGTGTTGTCCTTTCTATTCAGATTAGATTTAGTAGAAGGGAGGCTATATTTTGGCTTGCAAGGAAGTTTGAATATGGTGTTGCATGGCGCATTGAGGTTGAATAAAATCCTAATACATTGGAAAATTTAAATATTTGTGATGGGTATTTAAGTTTGAGGTTATTAGTGATAAGGTTGAGTTATAGTGCTAGTGAGAAGCCTAGGATAGTTGTGCCCAGAACTGTGAGCTTTATATGGAGAGGCATAATTATTTGGGGAATTGATATTGGGGAGATATTGTTGGAGATTAAAAATCTGGCAAAAATGCTACCAATTTTTCAATGTTTAATTGAATTAATTAGGAGGCATTATTTTTGTTGATAACAACTAAGGTTGTGAAGCGAAGTTGTCCTACCAGTGCGAAGAAGATAATTTGGGTACTGCAGACAGCTGTTAGGGAGGTGGCAATGAGTGTGATTAAGAGGGCTCGGGCATTGGTATATGATGTGTTTGTGGCTTCAATAATAAGATCTTTGGAGCAGAAGCCTTTGAGGAAAGGTATATACCTGAGTGCGAGGCTGCCAATAGTATGTGAGGAAGAGGTAAAGGGCAAGCTTTAAATAGCCTACCTATGTTTTGAATAGCTTGCTCATCATTGAGGTTATGAATAATAGACCTGGAGCATATAAATAATGTAGCTTTGAAAAAGGCATGTGTACAAATATGAAGAAAAGCTAGGTAAGGTTGGTTAATACCAATTGTAACTATTATGAGTCCTAGTTAACTCGAGGTGAAAAATGCCACAATTTTTTATATGTCATTTTGTGTTAGAGTGCAGATTGCTGTAAATAGTGTAGTAATAGCTCCTAAGCATAATGTGAGTGTTTGAATATTTATGTTATTATCTATTAGGGAATAAAATTGTATTGGTAGGAAAACGCCTGCTACCACTATTGTGCTAGAGTGGAGTAGGGCTGAGATGGGTGCTGGGGCTTCTATAGCTGACAGGAGTTAGGGGTGGAGACCAAATTGAGCTGATCTGCTAGCTGCTGCTACTAGAAAACCAATTAGTGGGAGAGTACTGGGGCTAGGGTTGAGGATAAATATTTGCTGAAGTTCTAATATACTGGACAAGAGAAATTGTGCTATTGCTAGGATAAAGCTGATGTCTCTGAGGCAATCATGTCAGATTGCTTGAAGGGTTGCTGTGTTGGTGTCTGTTCCGCCATACCATCAGCCAATTAGCAGGAAGGACCTAGTTAGGTTTTGATGGTAAGGTAAAGATTGAAGAAAGACAGAGAGTTGGCGGCTCTACAGCAACACAGGTTTATTGCCAGCACTACGTGCGGAGGTGGGGGACCAGCTTAATGCCAGAGCCCACTGCTGCTTACAGGCTGGGGTAATTTATAGGTTCGGGGTTGGTGGTCTTTGTGGTACGTCTTGCTGTCTGGGAGGATGTTCAGAAGGATATCCCTTCAGTTGTGCCTTTGCCCGGCAGGGTGTTATAAGAATGTTCCTGTGCTTTGTGGTCAGGTGGTTAGGCAGGGTGGTTCTCATGGCCCGAACCTCTGTGGAATGTTTCACTCTGATTAGGGTCTGCAAAGTGGCGCTTACAAAATGGTGCAGCTTGGACCAACAATACCTACGCCTTTCCATTCGATAAAGAGTTGGAATAGGTTGTTGGCAGTGACTAGAATTAGTATAGTAATGAGAAAAATGAGTAGATATTTGAAGAATTGATTTATGTTGGGGCCTGAGTATATATATACAATATTGAGAATTCTATAATACATCATGTGACAAATAGTGCTACTGGAATGAATATTGTAAAGAAGTAATCTAGTTTAAAGCTGAGTGAAAGCTTTAGGGTTTGAACTGTCATTCAGTGTCAGTTTGAAACAATAGTTTATTGGCCTGTATAGATGAATCTGGTGGTGGGGATGAGGCTGCTAATAAAGGTAAATGCAATGGATGATTTTACATCATTGGGGTACAAACTGTCTTTATAAATGCTAGTTGAGGTAATAATAATTGGAAAAGTTAGTAGGACTAGTGAGTCAGTGTAAAGAAAGAAAATAT